>NC_000011.10:51784209-51945698 GCF_000001405.40 Homo sapiens
ACTTTCCTCTTGACAGAGCAGCTCTGAAACCCTCTTTTTCTACAATCTGCAAGTGGACATTTGGAGGGCTTTGAGGCCTGTGGTGGAAAAGGAAAATCTTCACATAAAAAATAGATGGAAGCATTCTCAGAAACTACTTTGTGATGATTGCATTCGACTCACAGAGTTGAACATTCCTATAGATAGAGCAGGTTGTAAACAATCTTTTTGTAGAATCTGCGATTGGAGATTTGGACTGCTTTGAGGCCTACTGTAGTAAAGGAAATAACTTCATCTAAAAACCAAACGGAAGCATTCACAGACAATTCTTAGTGATCATTGCATTGAACTAACAGAGCTGAACATTCCTTTAGATGGCGCAGTTTCCAAACACACTTTCTGTAGAATCTGCAAGTGGATATTTGGACTTCTCTGAGGATTTCGTTGGAAACGGGATAAACTTCCCAGAACTACACGGAAGCATTGTGAGAAACTTCTTTGTGATGTTTGCATTCAACTCACAGAGTTGAACCTTGCTTTCATAGTTCAGCTTTCAAACACTCTTTTTGTAGAATCTGCAAGTGGATATTTGGACCACTTTGTGGCCTTCCTTCGAAACGGGTATATCTTCACATCAAACCTAGACAGAAGCATTCTCAGAATGTTTCCTGTGATGACTGCATTCAACTCACAGAGGTGAACAATCCTGCTGATGGAGCAGTTTTGAAACTCTCTTTCTTTGGATTCTGCAAGTGGATATGTGGACCTCTGTGAAGATTTCGTTGGAAACGGGTTCATCTTCACAGAAAAACTAAACAGAAGCATTCTCAGAAACTGCTTTGTGATGTTTGCGTTCCACTTCAGGAACTGAACTTTCCTCTTGACAGAGCAGCTCTGAAACCCTCTTATTCTAGAATCTGCAAGTGGACATTTGGAGGGCTTTGAGGCCTGTGGTGGAAAAGGAAAATCTTCCCATACAAACTAGATGGAAGCATTCTCAGAAACTACTTTGTGATGATTGCATTCGACTCACAGAGTTGAACATTCCTATAGATAGAGCAGGTTGTAAACAATCTTTTTGTAGAATCTGCGATTGGAGATTTGGACTGCTTTGAGGGCTACTGTAGTAAAGGAAATAACTTCATCTAAAAACCAAACGGAAGCATTCACAGACAATTCTTAGTGATCATTGGATTGAACTAACAGAGCTGAACATTCCTTTAGATGGAGCAGTTTCCAAACACACTTTCTGTAGAATCTGCAAGTGGATATTTGGACTTCTCTGAGGATTTCGTTGTAAAGGGGATAAACTTCCCAGAACTACACGGAAGCATGCTGAGAAACTTCTTTGTGATGTTTGCATTCAACTCACAGAGTTGAACCTTGCTTTCATAGTTCAGCTTTCAAACACTCTTTTTGTAGAATCTGCAAGTGGATATTTGGACCACTTTGTGGCCTTCCTTCGAAACGGGTATATCTTCACATCAAACCTAGACAGAAGCATTCTCAGAATGTTTCCTGTGATGACTGCATTCAACTCACAGAGGTGAACAATCCTGTTGATGGAGCACTTTTGAAACTCTCTTTCTTTGGATTCTGCAAGTTGATATGTGGACCTCTGAGAACATTTCGTTGGAAACGGGTTCATCTTCACAGAAAAACTAAACAGAAGCATTCTCAGAAACTACTTTGTGATGTTTGTGTTCCACTTCAAGAATTGAACTTTCCTCTTGACAGAGCAGCTCTGAAACCCTCTTTTTCTAGAATCTGCAAGTGGACATTTGGAGGGCTTTGAGGCCTGTGGTGGAAAAGGAAAATCTTCACATAAAAACTAGATGGAAGCATTCTCAGAAACTACTTTGTGATGATTGCATTCGACTCACAGAGTTGAACATTCCTATAGATAGAGCAGGTTGTAAACAATCTTTTTGTAGAATCTGCGATTGGAGATTTGGACTGCTTTGAGGCCTACTGTAGTAAAGGAAATAACTTCATCTAAAAACCAAACGGAAGCATTCACAGACAATTCTTAGTGATCATTGCATTGAACTAACAGAGCTGAACATTCCTTTAGATGGCGCAGTTTCCAAACACACTTTCTGTAGAATCTGCAAGCGGATATTTGGACCTCTCTGAGCATTTCGTTGGAAACGGGATAAACTTCCCAGAACTACACGGAAGCATTCTGAGAAACTTCTTTGTGATGTTTGCATTCAACTCACAGAGTTGAACCTTGCTTTCATAGTTCAGCTTTCAAACACTCTTTTTGTAGAATCTGCAAGTGGATATTTGGACCACTTTCTGGCCTTCCTTCGAAACGGGTATATCTTCACATCAAACCTAGACAGAAGCATTCTCAGAATGTTTCCTGTGATGACTGCATTCAACTCACAGAGGTGAACAATCCTGTTGATGGAGCACTTTTGAAACTCTCTTTCTTTGGATTCTGCAAGTTGATATGTGGACCTCTGTGAAGATTTCGTTGGAAACGGGTTCATCTTCACAGAAAAACTAAACAGAAGCATTCTCAGAAACTGCTTTGTGATTATTGTGTTCCACTTCAGGAATTGAACTTTCCTCTTGACAGAGCAGCTCTGAAACCCTCTTTTTCTAGAATCTGCAAGTGGACATTTGGAGGGCTTTGAGGCCTGTGGTGGAAAAGGAAAATCTTCACATAAAAACTAGATGGAAGCATTCTCAGAAACTACTTTGTGATGATTGCATTCGACTCACAGAGTTGAACATTCCTATAGATAGAGCAGGTTGTAAACAATGTTTTTGTAGAATCTGCGATTGGAGATTTGGATTGCTTTGAGGCCTACTGTAGTAAAGGAAATAACTTCATCTAAAAACCAAACGGAAGCATTCACAGACAATTCTTAGTGATCATTGGATTGAACTAACAGAGCTGAACATTCCTTTAGATGGAGCAGTTGCCAAACCCACTTTCTGTAGAATCTGCTAGTGGATATTTGGACTTCTCTGAGGATTTCGTTGGAAACGGGATAAACTTCCCAGAACTACACGGAAGCATTTTGAGAAACTTCTTTGTGATGTTTGCATTCAACTCACAGAGTTGAACCTTGCTTTCATAGTTCAGCTTTCAAACACTCTTTTTGTAGAATCTGCAAGTGGATATTTGGACCACTTTGTGGCCTTCCTTTGAAAAGGGTATATCTTCACATCAAACCTAGACAGAAGCATTCTCAGAATGTTTCCTGTGATGACTGCATTCAACTCACAGAGGTGAACAATCCTGTTGATGGAGCACTTTTGAAACTCTCTTTCTTTGGATTCTGCAAGTTGATATGTGGACCTCTGTGAAGATTTCGTTGGAAACGGGTTCATCTTCACAGAAAAACTAAACAGAAGCATTCTCAGAAACTGCTTTGTGATGTTTGTGTTCCACTTCAAGAATTGAACTTTCCTCTTGACAGAGCAGCTCTGAAACCCTCTTTTTCTAGAATCTGCAAGTGGACATTTGGAGGGCTTTGAGGCCTGTGGTGGAAAAGGAAAATCTTCACATAAAAACTAGATGGAAGCATTCTCAGAAACTACTTTGTGATGATTGCATTCGACTCACAGAGTTGAACATTCCTATAGATAGAGCAGGTTGTAAACAATCTTTTTGTAGAATCTGCGATTGGAGATTTGGACTGCTTTGAGGCCTACTGTAGTAAAGGAAATAACTTCATCTAAAAACCAAACGGAAGCATTCACAGACAATTCTTAGTGATCATTGCATTGATCTAACAGAGCTGAACATTCCTTTAGATGGCGTAGTTTCCAAACACACTTTCTGTAGAATCTGCAAGTGGATATTTGGACCTCTCTGAGGATTTCGTTGGAAACGGGATAAACTTCCCAGAACTACACGGAAGCATTCTGAGAAACTTCTTTGTGATGTTTGCATTCAACTCACAGAGTTGAACCTTGCTTTCATAGTTCAGCTTTCAAACACTCTTTTTGTAGAATCTGCAAGTGGATATTTGGACCACTTTGTGGCCTTCCTTCGAAACGGGTATATCTTCACATCAAACCTAGACAGAAGCATTCTCAGAATGTTTCCTGTGATGACTGCATTCAACTCACAGAGGTGGACAATCCTGCTGATGGAGCAGTTTTGAAACTCTCTTTCTTTGGATTCTGCAAGTGGATATGTGGACCTCTGTGAAGATTTCGTTGGAAACGGGTTCATCTTCACAGAAAAACTAAACAGGAGCATTCTCAGAAACTGCTTTGTGATGTTTGTGTTCCACTTCAGGAATTGAACTTTCCTCTTGACAGAGCAGCTCTGAAACCCTCTTTTTCTAGAATCTGCAAGTGGACATTTGGAGGGCTTTGAGGCCTGTGGTGGAAAAGGAAAATCTTCACATAAAAACTAGATGGAAGCATTCTCAGAAACTACTTTGTGATGATTGCATTCGACTCACAGAGTTGAACATTCCTATAGATAGAGCAGGTTGTAAACAATCTTTTTGTAGAATCTGCGATTGGAGATTTGGACTGCTTTGAGGCCTACTGTAGTAAAGGAAATAACTTCATCTAAAAACCAAACGGAAGCATTCACAGACAATTCTTAGTGATCATTGGATTGAACTAACAGAGCTGAACATTCCTTTAGATGGAGCAGTTTCCAAACCCACTTTCTGTAGAATCTGCAAGTGGATATTTGGACTTCTCTGAGGATTTCGTTGGAAACGGGATAAACTTCCCAGAACTACACGGAAGCATTGTGAGAAACTTCTTTGTGATGTTTGCATTCAACTCACAGAGTTGAACCTTGCTTTCATAGTTCAGCTTTCAAACACTCTTTTTGTAGAATCTGCAAGTGGATATTTGGACCACTTTGTGGCCTTCCTTCGAAAAGGGTATATCTTCACATCAAACCTAGACAGAAGCATTCTCAGAATGTTTCCTGTGATGACTGCATTCAACTCACAGAGGTGAACAATCCTGCTGATGGAGCAGTTTTGAAACTCTCTTTCTTTGGATTCTGCAAGTGGATATGTGGACCTCTGTGAAGATTTCGTTGGAAACGGGTTCATCTTCACAGAAAAACTAAACAGAAGCATTCTCAGAAACTGCTTTGTGATGTTTGTGTTCCACTTCAAGAATAGAACTTTTCTCTTGACAGAGCAGCTCTGAAACCCTCTTTTTCTAGAATCTGCAAGTGGACATTTGGAGGGCTTTGAGGCCTGTGGTGGAAAACGAAAATCTTCACATAAAAACTAGATGGAAGCATTCTCAGAAACTACTTTGTGATGATTGCATTCGACTCACAGAGTTGAACATTCCTATAGATAGAGCAGGTTGTAAACAATGTTTTTGTAGAATCTGCGATTGGAGATTTGGACTGCTTTGAGGCCTACTGTAGTAAAGGAAATAACTTCATCTAAAAACCAAACGGAAGCATTCACAGACAATTCTTAGTGATCATTGGATTGAGCTAACAGAGCTGAACATTCCTTTAGATGGAGCAGTTTCCAAACACACTTTCTGCAGAATCTGCAAGTGGATATTTGGACTTCTCTGAGGATTTCGTTGGAAACGGGATAAACTTCCCAGAACTACACGGAAGCATTGTGAGAATCATCTTTCTGATGTTGGCATTCAACTCACAGAGTTGAACCTTGCTTTCATAGTTCAGCTTTCAAACACTCTTTTTGTAGAATCTGCAAGTGGATATTTGGACCACTTTGTGGCCTTCCTTTGAAACGGGTACATCTTCACATCAAACCTAGACAGAAGCATTCTCAGAATGTTTCCTGTGATGACTGCATTCAACTCACAGAGGTGAAGAATCCTTTTGATGGAGCAGTTTTGAAACTCTCTTTCTTTGGATTCTGCAAGTGGATATGTGGACCTCTGTGAAGATTTCGTTGGAAACGGGTTCATCTTCACAGAAAAACTAAACAGAAGCATTCTCAGAAACTGCTTTGTGATGTTTGTGTTCCACTTCAAGAATTGAACTTTCCTCTTGACAGAGCAGCTCTGAAACCCTCTTTTTCTAGAATCTGCAAGTGGACATTTGGAGGGCTTTGAGGCCTGTGGTGGAAAAGGAAAATCTTCCCATAAAAACTAGATGGAAGCATTCTCACAAACTACTTTGTGATGATTGCATTCGAGTCACAGTGTTGAACATTCCTATAGATAGAGCAGGTTGTAAACAATCTTTTTGTAGAATCTGCGATTGGAGATTTGGACTGCTTTGAGCCCTACTGTAGTAAAGGAAATAACTTCATCTAAAAACCAAACGGAAGCATTCACAGACAATTCTTAGTGATCATTGGATTGAACTAACAGAGCTGAACATTCCTTTAGATGGAGCAGTTTCCAAACACACTTTCTGTAGAATCTGCAAGTGGATATTTGGACTTCTCTGAGGATTTCGTTGGAAACGGGATAAACTTCCCAGAACTACACGGAAGCATTGTGAGAAACTTCTTTGTGATGTTTGCATTCAACTCACAGAGTTGAACCTTGCTTTCATAGTTCAGCTTTCAAACACTCTTTTTGTAGAATCTGCAAGTGGATATTTGGACCACTTTGTGGCCTTCCTTTGAAAAGGGTATATCTTCACATCAAACCTAGACAGAAGCATTCTCAGAATGTTTCCTGTGATGACTGCATTCAACTCACAGAGGTGAACAATCCTGCTGATGGAGCAGTTTTGAAACTCTCTTTCTTTGGATTCTGCAAGTGGATATGTGGACCTCTGTGAAGATTTCGTTGGAAACGGGTTCATCTTCACAGAAAAACTAAACAGAAGCATTCTCAGAAACTGCTTTGTGATGTTTGTGTTCCACTTCAGGAATTGAACTTTCCTCTTGAAAGAGCAGCTCTGAAACCCTCTTATTCTAGAATCTGCAAGTGGACATTTGGAGGGCTTTGAGGCCTGTGGTGGAAAAGGAAAATCTTCACATAAAAACTAGATGGAAGCATTCTCAGAAACTACTTTGTGATGATTGCATTCGACTCACAGAGTTGAACATTCCTATAGATAGAGCAGGTTGTAAACAATCTTTTTGTAGAATCTGCGATTGGAGATTTGGACTGCTTTGAGGCCTACTGTAGTAAAGGAAATAACTTCATCTAAAAACCAAAATGGAAGCATTCACAGACAATTCTTAGTGATCATGGGATTGAACTAACAGAGCTGAACATTCCTTTAGATGGAGCAGTTTCCAAACACACTTTCTGTAGAATCTGCAAGTGGATATTTGGACTTCTCTGAGGATTTCGTTGGAAACGGGATAAACTTCCCAGAACTACACGGAAGCATTGTGAGAAACTTCTTTGTGATGTTTGCATTCAACTCACAGAGTTGAACCTTGCTTTCATAGTTCAGCTTTCAAACACTCTTTTTGTAGAATCTGCAAGTGGATATTTGGACCACTTTTTGGCCTTCCTTCGAAACGGGTATATCTTCACATCAAACCTAGACAGAAGCATTCTCAGAATGTTTTCTGTGATGACTGCATTCAACTCACAGAGGTGAACAATCCTGCTGATGGACCAGTTTTGAAACTCTCTTTCTTTGTATTCTGCAAGTGGATATGTGGACCTCTGTGAACATTTCGTTGGAAACGGGTTCATCTTCACAGAAAAACTAAGCAGGAGCATTCTCAGAAACTGCTTTGTGATGTTTGTGTTCCACTTCAGGAATTGTACTTTCCTCTTGACAGAGCAGCTCTGAAACCCTCTTATTCTAGAATCTGCAAGTGGACATTTGGAGGGCTTTGAGGCCTGTGGTGGAAAAGGAAAATCTTCACATAAAAACTAGATGGAAGCATTCTCAGAAACTACTTTGTGATGATTGCATTCGACTCACAGAGTTGAACATTCCTATAGATAGAGCAGGTTGTAAACAATCTTTTTGTAGAATCTGCGATTGGAGATTTGGACTGCTTTGAGGCCTACTGTAGTAAAGGAAATAACTTCATCTAAAAACCAAACGGAAGCATTCACAGACAATTGTTAGTGATCATTGCATTGAACTAACAGAGCTGAACATTCCTTTAGATGGCGCAGTTTCCAAACACACTTTCTGTAGAATCTGCAAGTGGATATTTGGACCTCTCTGAGGATTTCGTTGGAAACGGGATAAACTTCCCAGAACTACACGGAAGCATTCTGAGAAACTTCTTTGTGATGTTTGCATTCAACTCACAGGGTTGAACCTTGCTTTCATAGTTCAGCTTTCAAACACTCTTTTTGTAGAATCTGCAAGTGGATATTTGGACCACTTTGTGGCCTTCCTTCGAAACGGGTATATCTTCACATCAAACCTAGACAGAAGCATTCTCAGAATGTTTCCTGTGATGACTGCATTCAACTCACAGAGGTGAACAATCCTGCTGATGGAGCAGTTTTGAAACTCTCTTTCTTTGGATTCTGCAAGTGGATATGTGGACCTCTGTGAAGATTTCGTTGGAAACGGGTTCATCTTCACAGAAAAACTAAACAGGAGCATTCTCAGAAACTGCTTTGTGATGTTTGTGTTCCACATCAAGAATTGAACTTTCCCCTTGACAGAGCAGCTCTGAAACCCTCTTTTTCTAGAATCTGCAAGTGGACATTTGGAGGGCTTTGAGGCCTGTGGTGCAAAAGGAAAATCTTCACATAAAAACTAGATGGAAGCATTCTCAGAAACTACTTTGTGATGATTGCATTCGACTCACAGAGTTGAACATTCCTATACATAGAGCAGGTTGTAAACAATCTTTTTGTAGAATCTGCGATTGGAGATTTGGACTGCTTTGAGGCCTACTGTAGTAAAGGAAATAACTTCATCTAAAAACCAAACGGAAGCATTCACAGACAATTCTTAGTGATCATTGCATTGAACTAACAGAGCTGAACATTCCTTTAGATGGCGCAGTTTCCAAACACACTTTCTGTAGAATCTGCAAGTGGATATTTGGACCTCTCTGAGGATTTCGTTGGAAACGGGATAAACTTCCCAGAACTACACGGAAGCATTGTGAGAAACTTCTTTGTGATGTTTGCATTCAACTCACAGAGTTGAACCTTGCTTTCATAGTTCAGCTTTCAAACACTCTTTTTGTAGAATCTGCAAGTGGATATTTGGACCACTTTGTGGCCTTCCTTCGAAACGGCTATATCTTCACATCAAACCTAGACAGAAGCATTCTCAGAATGTTTCCTGTGATGACTGCATTCAACTCACAGAGGTGAACAATCCTGCTGATGGAGCAGTTTTGAAACTCTCTTTCTTTGGATTCTGCAAGTGGATATGTGGACCTCTGTGAAGATTTCGTTGGAAACGGGTTCATCTTCACAGAAAAACTAAACAGGAGCATTCTCAGAAACTGCTTTGTGATGTTTGTGTTCCACTTAAAGAATTGAACTTTCCTCTTGACAGAGCAGCTCTGAAACCCTCTTTTTCTAGAATCTGCAAGTGGACATTTGGAGGGCTTTGAGGCCTGTGGTGGAAAAGGAAAATCTTCACATAAAAACTTTATGGAAGCATTCTCAGAAACTTCTTTGTGATGATTGCATTCGACTCACAGAGTTGAACATTCCTATAGATAGAGCAGGTTGTAAACAATCTTTTTGTAGAATCTGCGATTGGAGATTTGGACTGCTTTGAGGCCTACTGTAGTAAAGGAAATTACTTCATCTAAAAACCAAACGGAAGCATTCACAGACAATTCTTAGTGATCATTGGATTCAACTAACAGAGCTGAACATTCCTTTAGATGGAGCAGTTTCCAAACCCACTTTCTGTAGAATCTGCAAGTGGATATTTGGACTTCTCTGAGGATTTCGTTGGAAACGGGATAAACTTCCCAGAACTACACGGAAGCATTGTGAGAAACTTCTTTGTGATGTTTGCATTCAACTCACAGAGTTGAACCTTGCTTTCATAGTTCAGCTTTCAAACACTCTTTTTGTAGAATCTGCAAGTGGATATTTGGACCACTTTGTGGCCTTCCTTCGAAACGGGTATATCTTCACATCAAACCTAGACAGAAGCATTCTCAGAATGTTTCCTGTGATGACTGCATTCAACTCACAGAGGTGAACAATCCTGCTGATGGAGCAGTTTTGAAACTCTCTTTCTTTGGATTCTGCAAGTGGATATGTGGACCTCTGTGAAGATTTCGTTGGAAACGGGTTCATCTTCACAGAAAAACTAAACAGGAACATTCTCAGAAACTGCTTTGTGATGTTTGTGTTCCACTTCAAGAATTGAACTTTCCTCTTGACAGAGCAGCTCTGAAACCCTCTTTTTCTAGAATCTGCAAGTGGACATTTGGAGGGCTTTGAGGCCTGTGGTGGAAAAGGAAAATCTTCACATAAAAACTAGATGGAAGCATTCTCAGAAACTACTTTGTGATGATTGCATTCGACTCACAGAGTTGAACATTCCTATAGATAGAGCAGGTTGTAAACAATCTTTTTGTAGAATCTGCGATTGGAGATTTGGACTGCTTTGAGGCCTACTGTAGTAAAGGAAATAACTTCATCTAAAAACCAAACGGAAGCATTCACAGACAATTCTTAGTGATCATTGCATTGAACTAACAGAGCTGAACATTCCTTTAGATGGCGCAGTTTCCAAACACACTTTCTGTAGAATCTGCAAGTGGATATTTGGACTTCTCTGAGGATTTCGTTGGAAACGGGATAAACTTCCCAGAACTACACGGAAGCATTGTGAGAAACTTCTTTGTGATGTTTGCATTCAACTCACAGAGTTGAACCTTGCTTTCATAGTTCAGCTTTCAAACACTCTTTTTGTAGAATCTGCAAGTGGATATTTGGACCACTTTGTGGCCTTCCTTCGAAACGGGTATATCTTCACATCAAACCTAGACAGAAGCATTCTCAGAATGTTTCCTGTGATGACTGCATTCAACTCACAGAGGTGAACAATCCTGCTGATGGAGCAGTTTTGAAACTCTCTTTCTTTGGATTCTGCAAGTGGATATGGGGACCTCTGTGAAGATTTCGTTGGAAACGGGTTCATCTTCACAGAAAAACTAAACAGAAGCATTCTCAGAAACTGCTTTGTGATGTTTGTGTTCCACTTCAGGAATTGAACTTTCCTCTTGACAGAGCAGCTCTGAAACCCTCTTATTCTAGAATCTGCAAGTGGACATTTGGAGGGCTTTGAGGCCTGTGGTGGAAAAGGAAAATCTTCACATAAAAACTAGATGGAAGCATTCTCAGAAACTACTTTGTGATGATTGCATTCGACTCACAGAGTTGAACATTCCTATAGATAGAGCAGGTTGTAAACAATCTTTTTGTAGAATCTGTGATTGGAGATTTGGACTGCTTTGAGGCCTACTCTAGTAAAGGAAATAACTTCATCTAAAAACCAAACGGAAGCATTCACAGACAATTCTTAGTGATCATTGGATTGAACTAACAGAGCTGAACATTCCTTTAGATGGAGCAGTTTCCAAACCAACTTTCTGTAGAATCTGCAAGTGGATATTTGGACTTCTCTGAGGATTTCGTTGGAAACGGGATAAACTTCTCAGAACTACACGGAAGCATTGTGAGAAACTTCTTTGTGATGTTTGCATTCAACTCACAGAGTTGAACCTTGCTTTCATAGTTCAGCTTTCAAACACTCTTTTTGTAGAATCTGCAAGTGGATATTTGGACCACTTTGTGGCCTTCCTTCGAAACGGGTATATCTTCACATCAAACCTAGACAGAAGCATTCTCAGAATGTTTCCTGTGATGACTGCATTCAACTCACCGAGGTGAACAATCCTGCTGATGGAGCAGTTTTGAAACTCTCTTTCTTTGGATTCTGCAAGTGGATATGTGGACCTCTGTGAAGATTTCGTTGGAAACGGGTTCATCTTCACAGAAAAACTAAACAGAAGCATTCTCAGAAACTGCTTTGTGATGTTTGTGTTCCACTTCAGGAATTGAACTTTCCTCTTGACAGAGCAGCTCTGAAACCCTCTTATTCTAGAATCTGCAAGTGGACATTTGGAGGGCTTTGAGGCCTGTGGTGGAAAAGGAAAATCTTCACATAAAAACTAGATGGAAGCATTCTCAGAAACTACTTTGTGATGATTGCATTCGACTCACAGAGTTGAACATTCCTATAGATAGAGCAGGTTGTAAACAGTCTTTTTGTAGAATCTGTGATTGGAGATTTGGACTGCTTTGAGGCCTACTGTAGTAAAGGAAATAACTTCATCTAAAAACCAAACGGAAGCATTCACAGACAATTCTTAGTGATCATTGGATTGAACTAACAGAGCTGAACACTCCTTTAGATGGCGCTGTTTCCAAACACACTTTCTGTAGAATCTGCAAGTGGATATTTGGACTTCTCTGAGGATTTCGTTGGAAACGGGATAAACTTCCCAGAACTACACGGAAGCATTGTGAGAAACTTCTTTGTGATGTTTGCATTCAACTCACAGAGTTGAACCTTGCTTTCATAGTTCAGCTTTCAAACACTCTTTTTGTAGAATCTGCAAGTGGATATTTGGACCACTTTGTGGCCTTCCTTCGAAACGGGTATATCTTCACATCAAACCTAGACAGAAGCATTCTCAGAATGTTTCCTGTGATGACTGCATTCAACTCACAGAGGTGAACAATCCTTCTGATGGAGCAGTTTTGAAACTCTCTTTCTTTGGATTCTGCAAGTGGATATGTGGACCTCTGTGAAGATTTCGTTGGAAACGGGTTCATCTTCACAGAAAAACTAAACAGGAGCATTCCCAGAAACTGCTTTGTGATGTTTGTGTTCCACTTCAAGAATTGAACTTTCCTCTTGACAGAGCAGCTCTGAAACCCTCTTTTTCTAGAATCTGCAAGTGGACATTTGGAGGGCTTTGAGGCCTGTGGTGGAAAAGGAAAATCTTCACATAAAAACTAGATGGAAGCATTCTCAGAAACTACTTTGTGATGATTGCATTCGACTCACATAGTTGAACATTCCTATAGATAGAGCAGGTTGTAAACAATCTTTTTGTAGAATCTGCGATTGGAGATTTGGACTGCTTTGAGGCCTACTGTAGTAAAGGAAATAACTTCATCTAAAAACCAAACGGAAGCATTCACAGAAAATTCTTAGTGATCATTGGATTGAACTAACAGAGCTGAACATTCCTTTAGATGGAGCAGTTTCCAAACCCACTTTCTGTAGAATCTGCAAGTGGATATTTGGACTTCTCTGAGGATTTCGTTGGAAACGGGATATGCTTCCCAGAACTACAGGGAAGCATTCTGAGAAACTTCTTTGTGATGTTTGCATTCAACTCACAGAGTTGAACCTTGCTTTCATAGTTCAGCTTTCAAACACTCTTTTTGTAGAATCTGCAAGTGGATATTTGGACCACTTTGTGGCCTTCCTTCGAAACGGGTATATACTTCACATCAAACCTAGACAGAAGCATTCTCAGAATGTTTCCTGTGATGACTGCATTCAACTCACAGAGGTGAACAATCCTGCTGATGGAGCAGTTTTGAAACTCTCTTTCTTTGGATTCTGCAAGTGGATATGTGGACCTCTGTGAAGATTTCGTTGGAAACGGGTTCATCTTCACAGAAAAACTAAACAGAAGCATTCTCGGAAACTGCTTTGTGATGTTTGTGTTCCACTTCAGGAATTGAACTTTCCTCTTGACAGAGCAGCTCTGAAACCCTCTTATTCTAGAATCTGCAAGTGGACATTTGGAGGGCTTTGAGGCCTGTGGTGGAAAAGGAAAATCTTCACATAAAAACTAGATGGAAGCATTCTCAGAAACTACTTTGTGATGATTGCATTCGACTCACAGAGTTGAACATTCCTATAGATAGAGCAGGTTGTAAACAATCTTTTTGTAGAATCTGCGATTGGAGATTTGGACTGCTTTGAGGCCTACTGTAGTAAAGGAAATAACATCATCTAAAAACCAAACGGAAGCATTCACAGACAATTCTTAGTGATCATTGCATTGAACTAACAGAGCTGAACATTCCTTTAGATGGAGCAGTTTCCAAACACACTTTCTGTAGAATCTGCAAGTGGATATTTGGACTTCTCTGAGGATTTCGTTGGAAACGGGATAAACTTCCCAGAACTACACGGAAGCATGCTGAGAAACTTCTTTGTGATGTTTGCATTCAACTCACAGAGTTGAACCTTGCTTTCATAGTTCAGCTTTCAAACACTCTTTTTGTAGAATCTGCAAGTGGATATTTGGACCACTTTGTGGCCTTCCTTCGAAACGGGTATATCTTCACATCAAACCTAGACAGAAGCATTCTCAGAATGTTTCCTGTGATGACTGCATTCAACTCACAGAGGTGAACAATCCTGCTGATGGAGCAGTTTTGAAACTCTCTTTCTTTGGATTCTGCAAGTGGATATGTGGACCTCTGTGAAGATTTCGTTGGAAACGGGTTCATCTTCACAGAAAAACTAAACAGGAGCATTCTCAGAAACTGCTTTGTGATGTTTGTGTTCCACTTCAGGAATTGAACTTTCCTCTTGACAGAGCAGCTCTGAAACCCTCTTTTTCTAGAATCTGCAAGTGGACATTTGGAGGGCTTTGAGGCCTGTGGTGGAAAAGGAAAATCTTCACATAAAAACTAGATGGAAGCATTCTCAGAAACTACTTTGTGATGATTGCATTCGACTCACAGAGTTGAACATTCCTATAGATAGAGCAGGTTGTAAACAATCTTTTTGTAGAATCTGCGATTGGAGATTTGGACTGCTTTGAGGCCTACTGTAGTAAAGGAAATAACTTCATCTAAAAACCAAACGGAAGCATTCACAGACAATTCTTAGTGATCATTGCATTGAACTAACAGAGCTGAACATTCCTTTAGATGGAGCAGTTTCCAAACACACTTTCTGTAGAATCTGCAAGTGGATATTTGGACCTCTGTGAGGATTTCGTTGGAAACGGGATAAACTTCCCAGAACTACACGGAAGCATTCTGAGAAACTTCTTTGTGATGTTTGCATTCAACTCACAGAGTTGAACCTTGCTTTCATAGTTCAGCTTTCAAACACTCTTTTTGTAGAATCTGCAAGTGGATATTTGGACCACTTTGTGGCCTTCCTTCGAAACGGGTATATCTTCACATCAAACCTAGACAGAAGCATTCTCAGAATGTTTCCTGTGATGACTGCATTCAACTCACAGAGGTGAACAATCCTGTTGATGGAGCAGTTTTGAATCTCTCTTTCTTTGGATTCTGCAAGTGGATATGTGGACCTCTGTGAAGATTTCGTTGGAAACGGGTTCATTTTCACAGAAAAACTAAACAGAAAGCATTCTCAGAAACTGCTTTGTGATGTTTGTGTTGCACTTCAGTTATTGAACTTTCCTCTTGACAGAGCAGCTCTGAAATCCTCTTATTCTAGAATCTGCAAGTGGACATTTGGAGGGCTTTGAGGCCTGTGGTGGAAAAGGAAAATCTTCACATAAAAACTAGATGGAAGCATTCTCAGAAACTACTTTGTGATGATTGCATTCGACTCACAGAGTTGAACATTCCTATAGATAGAGCAGGTTGTAAACAATCTTTTTGTAGAATCTGCGATTGGAGATTTGGACTGCTTTGAGGCCTACTGTAGTAAAGGAAATAACTTCATCTAAAAACCAAACGGAAGCATTCACAGACAATTCTTAGTGATCATTGCATTGAACAAACAGAGCTGAAAATTGCTTTAGATGGCGCAGTTTCCAAACCCACTTTCTGTAGAATCTGCAAGTGGATATTTGGACCTCTCTGAGGATTTCGTTGGAAACGGGATAAACTTCCCAGAACTACACGGAAGCATGCTGAGAAACTTCTTTGTGATGTTTGCATTCAACTCACAGAGTTGAACCTTGCTTTCATAGTTCAGCTTTCAAACACTCTTTTTGTAGAATCTGCAAGTGGATATTTGGACCACTTTGTGGCCTTCCTTCGAAACGGGTATATCTTCACATCAAACCTAGACAGAAGCATTCTCAGAATGTTTCCTGTGATGACTGCATTCAACTCACAGAGGTGAACAATCCTGTTGATGGAGCACTTTTGAAACTCTCTTTCTTTGGATTCTGCAAGTTGATATGTGGACCTCTGTGAAGATTTCGTTGGAAACGGGTTCATCTTCACAGAAAAACTAAACAGAAGCATTCTCAGAAACTACTTTGTGATGTTTGTGTTCCACTTCAAGAATTGAACTTTCCTCTTGACAGAGCAGCTCTGAAACCCTCTTTTTCTAGAATCTGCAAGTGGACATTTGGAGGGCTTTGAGGCCTGTGGTGGAAAAGGAAAATCTTCACATAAAAACTAGATGGAAGCATTCTCAGAAACTACTTTGTGATGATTGCATTCGACTCACAGAGTTGAACATTCCTATAGATAGAGCAGGTTGTAAACAATCTTTTTGTAGAATCTGCGATTGGAGATTTGGACTGCTTTGAGGCCTACTGTAGTAAAGGAAATAACTTCATCTAAAAACCAAACGGAAGCATTCACAGACAATTCTTAGTGATCATTGCATTGAACTAACAGAGCTGAACATTCCTTTAGATGGCGCAGTTTCCAAACACACTTTCTGTAGAATCTGCAAGTGGATATTTGGACCTCTCTGAGGATTTCGTTGGAAACGGGATAAAATTCCCAGAACTACACGGGAAGCATTCTGAGAAACTTCTTTGGATGTTTGCATTCAACTCACAGAGTTGAACCTTGCTTTCATAGTTCAGCTTTCAAACACTCTTTTTGTAGAATCTGCAAGTGGATATTTGGACCACTTTGTGGCCTTCCTTCGAAACGGGTATATCTTCACAGCAAACCTAGACAGAAGCATTCTCAGAATGTTTCCTGTGATGACTGCATTCAACTCACAGAGGTGAAGAATCCTGTTGATGGAGCAGTTTTGAAACTCTCTTTCTTTGGATTCTGCAAGTGGATATGTGGACCTCTGTGAAGATTTCGTTGGAAACGGGTTCATCTTCACAGAAAAACTAAACAGAAGCATTCTCAGAAACTGCTTTGTGATGTTTGTGTTCCACTTCAAGAATTGAACTTTCCTCTTGACAGAGCAGCTCTGAAACCCTCTTTTTCTAGAATCTGCAAGTGGACATTTGGAGGGCTTTGAGGCCTGTGGTGGAAAAGGAAAATCTTCACATAAAAACTAGATGGAAGCATTCTCAGAAACTACTTTGTGATGATTGCATTCGACTCACAGAGTTGAACATTCCTATAGATAGAGCAGGTTGTAAACAATCTTTTTGTAGAATCTGCGATTGGAGATTTGGACTGCTTTGAGGCCTACTGTAGTAAAGGAAATAACTTCATCTAAAAACCAAACGGAAGCATTCACAGACAATTCTTAGTGATCATTGCATTGAACTAACAGAGCTGAACATTCCTTTAGATGGCGCAGTTTCCAAACCCACTTTCTGTAGAATCTGCAAGTGGATATTTGGACCTCTCTGAGGATTTCGTTGGAAACGGGATAAACTTCCCAGAACTACACGGAAGCATTCTGAGAAACTTCTTTGTGATGTTTGCATTCAACTCACAGAGTTGAACCTTGCTTTCATAGTTCAGCTTTCAAACACTCTTTTTGTAGAATCTGCAAGTGGATATTTGGACCACTTTGTGGCCTTCCTTCGAAACGGGTATATCTTCACATCAAACCTAGACAGAAGCATTCTCAGAATGTTTCCTGTGATGACTGCATTCAACTTACAGAGGTGAACAATCCTCCTGATGGAGCAGTTTTGAAACTCTCTTTCTTTGGATTCTGCAAGTGGATATGTGGACCTCTGTGAAGATTTCGTTGGAAACGGGTTCATCTTCACAGAAAAACTAAACAGGAGCATTCTCAGAAACTGCTTTGTGATGTTTGTGTTCCACTTCAAGAATTGAACTTTCCTCTTGACAGAGCAGCTCTGAAACCCTCTTTTTCTAGAATCTGCTAGTGGACATTTGGAGGGCTTTGAGGCCTGTGGTGGAAAAGGAAAATCTTCACATAAAAACTAGATGGAAGCATTCTCAGAAACTACTTTGTGATGATTGCATTCGACTCACAGAGTTGAACATTCCTATACATAGAGCAGGTTGTAAACAATCTTTTTGTAGAATCTGCGATTGGAGATTTGGACTGCTTTGAGGCCTACTGTAGTAAAGGAAATAACTTCATCTAAAAACCAAACGGAAGCATTCACAGACAATTCGTAGTGATCATTGGATTGAACTAACAGAGCTGAACATTCCTTTAGATGGAGGAGTTTCCAAACACACTTTCTGTAGAATCTGCAAGTGGATATTTGGACTTCTCTGAGGATTTCGTTGGAAACAGGATAAACTTCCCAGAACTACACGGAAGTATTCTGAGAAACTTCTTTGTGATGTTTGCATTCAACTCACAGAGTTGAACCTTGCTTTCATAGTTCAGCTTTCAAACACTCTTTTTGTAGAATCTGCAAGTGGATATTTGGACCACTTTGTGGCCTTCCTTCGAAACGGGTATATCTTCACATCAAACCTAGACAGAAGCATTCTCAGAATGTTTCCTGTGATGACTGCATTCAACTCACAGAGGTGAACAATCCTGCTGATGGAGCAGTTTTGAAACTCTCTTTCTTTGGATTCTGCAAGTGGATATGTGGACCTCTCTGAAGATTTCGTTGGAAACGGGTTCATCTTCACAGAAAAACTAAACAGGAGCATTCTCAGAAACTGCTTTGTGATGTTTGTGTTCCACTTCAGGAATTGAACTTTCCTCTTGAGAGAGCAGCTCTGAAACCCTCTTTTTCTAGAATCTGCATGTGGACATTTGGAGGGATTTGAGGCCTGTGGTGGAAAAGGAAAATCTTCACATAAAAACTAGATGGAAGCATTCTCAGAAACTACTTTGTGATGATTGCATTCGACTCACAGAGTTGAACATTCCTATAGATAGAGCAGGTTGTAAACAATCTTTTTGTAGAATCTGCGATTGGAGATTTGGACTGCTTTGAGGCCTACTGTAGTAAAGGAAATAACCTCATCTAAAAACCAAACGGAAGCATTCACAGACAATTCTTAGTGATCATTGCATTGAACTAACAGAGCTGAAGATTCCTTTAGATGGCGCAGTTTCCAAACACACTTTCTGTAGAATCTGCAAGTGGATATTTGGACCTCTCTGAGGATTTCGTTGGAAACGGGATAAACTTCCCAGAACTACACGGAAGCATTGTGAGAAACTTCTTTGTGATGTTTGCATTCAACTCACAGAATTCAACCTTGCTTTCATAGTTCAGCTTTCAAACACTCTTTTTGTAGAATCTGCAAGTGGATATTTGGACCACTTTGTGGCCTTCCTTCGAAACGGCTATATCTTCACATCAAACCTAGACAGAAGCATTCTCAGAATGTTTCCTGTGATGACTGCATTCAACTCACAGAGGTGAACAATCCTGTTGATGGAGCAGTTTTGAAACTCTCTTTCTTTGGATTCTGCAAGTGGATATGTGGACCTCTGTGAAGATTTCGTTGGAAACGGGTTCATCTTCACAGAAAAACTAAACAGAAGCATTCTCAGAAACTGCTTTGTGATGTTTGTGTTCCACTTCAGGAATTGAACTTTCCTCTTGACAGAGCAGCTCTGAAATCCTCTTATTCTAGAATCTGCAAGTGGACATTTGGAGGGCTTTGAGGCCTGTGGTGGAAAAGGAAAATCTTCACATAAAAACTAGATGGAAGCATTCTCAGAAACTACTTTGTGATGATTGCATTCGACTCACAGAGTTGAACATTCCTAAAGATAGAGCAGGTTGTAAACAATCTTTTTGTAGAATCTGAGATTGGAGATTTGGACTGCTTTGAGGCCTACTGTAGTAAAGGAAATAACTTCATCTAAAAACCAAACGGAAGCATTCACAGACAATTCTTAGTGATCATTGGATTGAACTAACAGAGCTGAATATTCCTTTAGATGGAGCAGGTTCCAAACCCAATTTCTGTAGAATCTGCAAGTGGATATTTGGACTTCTCTGAGGATTTCGTTGGAAACGGGATAAACTTCCCAGAACTACACGGAAGCATTCTGAGAAACTTCTTTGTGATGTTTGCATTCAACTCACAGAGTTGAACCTTGCTTTCATAGTTCAGCTTTCAAACACTCTTTTTGTAGAATCTGCAAGTAGATATTTGGACCACTTTGTGGCCTTCCTTCGAAACGGGTATATCTTCACATCAAACCTAGACAGAAGCATTCTCAGAATGTTTCCTGTGATGACTGCATTCAACTCACAGAGGTGAACAATCCTGCTGATGGAGCAGTTTTGAAACTCTCTTTCTTTGGATTCTGCAAGTGGATATGTGGACCTCTGTGAAGATTTCGTTGGAAACGGGTTCATCTTCACAGAAAAACTAAACAGAAACATTCTCAGAAACTGCTTTGTGATGTTTGTGTTCCACTTCAAGAATTGAACTTTCCTCTTGACAGAGCAGCTCTGAAACCCTCTTTTTCTAGAATCTGCAAGTGGACATTTGGAGGGCTTTGAGGCCTGTGGTGGAAAAGGAAAATCTTCACATAAAAACTAGATGGAAGCATTCTCAGAAACTACTTTGTGATGATTGCATTCGACTCACAGAGTTGAACATTCCTATAGATAGAGCAGGTTGTAAACAATCTTTTTGTAGAATCTGCGATTGGAGATTTGGACTGCTTTGAGGCCTACTGTAGTAAAGGAAATAACTTCATCTAAAAACCAAACGGAAGCATTCACAGACAATACTTAGTGATCATTGGATTGAACTAACAGAGCTGAACATTCCTTTAGATGGCGCAGTTTCCAAACACACTTTCTGTAGAATCTGCAAGTGGATATTTGGACTTCTACTGAGGATTTCGTTGGAAACGGGATAAACTTCCCAGAACTACACGGAAGCATTGTGAGAAACTTCTTTGTGATGTTTGCATTCAACTCACAGAGTTGAACCTTGCTTTCATAGTTCAGCTTTCAAACACTCTTTTTGTAGAATCTGCAAGTGGATATTTGGACCACTTTGTGGCCTTCCTTCGAAACGGGTATATCTTCACATCAAACCTAGACAGAAGCATTCTCAGAATGGTTCCTGTGATGACTGCATTCAACTGACAGAGGTGAACAATCCTGCTGATGGAGCAGTTTTGAAACTCTCTTTCTTTGGATTCTGCAAGTGGATATGTGGACCGCTGTGAAGATTTCGTTGGAAACGGGTTCATCTTCACAGAAAAACTAAACAGAAGCATTCTCAGAAACTGCTTTGTGATGTTTGTGTTCCACTTCAGGAATTGAACTTTCCTCTTGACAGAGCAGCTCTGAAACCCTCTTTTTCTAGAATCTGCAAGTGGACATTTGGAGGGCTTTGAGGCCTGTGGTGGAAAAGGAAAATCTTCACATAAAAACTAGATGGAAGCATTCTCAGAAACTACTTTGTGATGATTGCATTCGACTCACAGAGTTGAACATTCCTATAGATAGAGCAGGTTGTAAACAATCTTTTTGTAGAATCTGCGATTGGAGATTTGGACTGCTTTGAGGCCTACTGTAGTAAAGGAAATAACTTCATCTAAAAACCAAACGGAAGCATTCACAGACAATTCTTAGTGATCATTGGATTGAACTAACAGAGCTGAACATTCCTTTAGATGGAGCAGTTTCCAAACCCACTTTCTGTAGAATCTGCAAGTGGATATTTGGACTTCTCTGAGGATTTCGTTGGAAACGGGATAAACTTCCCAGAACTACACGGAAGCATTCTGAGAAACTTCTTTGTGATGTTTGCATTCAACTCACAGAGTTGAACCTTGCTTTCATAGTTCAGCTTTCAAACACTCTTTTTGTAGAATCTGCAAGTGGATATTTGGACCACTTTGTGGCCTTCCTTCGAAACGGGTATATCTTCACATCAAACCTAGACAGAAGCATTCTCAGAATGTTTCCTGTGATGACTGCATTCAACTCACAGAGGTGAACAATCCTGCTGATGGAGCAGTTTTGAAACTCTCTTTCTTTGGATTCTGCAAGTGGATATGTGGACCTCTGTGAAGATTTCGTTGGAAACGGGTTCATCTTCACAGAAAAACTAAACAGGAGCATTCTCAGAAACTGCTTTGTGATGTTTGTGTTCCACTTCAGGAATTGAACTTTCCTCTTGACAGAGCAGCTCTGAAACCCTCTTTTTCTAGAATCTGCAAGTGGACATTTGGAGGGCTTTGAGGCCTGTGGTGGAAAAGGAAACTCTTCACATAAAAACTAGATGGAAGCATTCTCAGAAACTACTTTGCGATGATTGCATTCGACTCACAGAGTTGAACATTCCTATAGATAGAGCAGGTAGTAAACAATCTTTTTGTAGAATCTGCGATTGGAGATTTGGACTGCTTTGAGGCGTACTGTAGTAAAGGAAATAACTTCATCTAAAAACCAAACGGAAGCATTCACAGGCAATTCTTAGTGATCATTGGATTGAACTAACAGAGCTGAACATTCCCTTAGATGGCGCAGTTTCCAAACACGCTTTCTGTAGAATCTGCAAGTGGATATTTGGACCTCTCTGAGGATTTCGTTGGAAACGGGATAAACTTCCCAGAACTACACGGAAGCATTCTGAGAAACTTCTTTGTGATGTTTGCATTCAACTCACAGAGTTGAACCTTGCTTTCATAGTTCAGCTTTCAAACACTCTTTTTGTAGAATCTGCAAGTGGATATTTGGACCACTTTGTGGCCTTCCTTCGAAACGGGTATATCTTCACATCAAACCTAGACAGAAGCATTCTCAGAATGTTTCCTGTGATGACTGCATTCAACTCACAGAGGTGAACGATCCTGCTGATGGAGCTGTTTTGAAACTCTCTTTCTTTGGATTCTGCAAGTGGATATGTGGACCTCTGTGTAGATTTCGTTGGAAACGGGTTCATCTTCACAGAAAAACTAAACAGGAGCATTCTCAGAAACTGCTTTGTGATGTTTGTGTTCCACTTCAAGAATTGAACTTTCCTCTTGACAGAGCAGCTCTGAATCCCTCTTTTTCTAGAATCTGCAAGTGGACATTTGGAGGGCTTTGAGGCCTGTGGTGGAAAAGGAAAATCTTCACATAAAAACTAGATGGAAGCATTCTCAGAAACTACTTTGTGATGATTGCATTCGACTCACAGAGTTGAACATTCCTATAGATAGAGCAGGTTGTAAACAATCTTTTTGTAGAATCTGCGATTGGAGATTTGGACTGCTTTGAGGCCTACTGTAGTAAAGGAAATAACTTCATCTAAAAACCAAACGGAAGCATTCACAGACAATTCTTAGTGATCATTGGATTGAACTAACAGAGCTGAACATTCCTTTAGATGGAGCAGTTTCCAAACACACTTTCTGCAGAATCTGCAAGTGGATATTTGGACTTCTCTGAGGATTTCGTTGGAAATGGGATAAACTTCCCAGAACTACACGGAAGCATTGTGAGAATCATCTTTCTGATGTTTGCATTCAACTCACAGAGTTGAACCTTGCTTTCATAGTTCAGCTTTCAAACACTCTTTTTGTAGAATCTGCAAGTGGATATTTGGACCACTTTGTGGCCTTCCTTTGAAAAGGGTACATCTTCACATCAAACCTAGACAGAAGCATTCTCAGAATGTTTCCTGTGATGACTGCATTCAACTCACAGAGGTGAACAATCCTGCTGTTGGAGCAGTTTTGAAACTCTCTTTCTTTGGATTCTGCAAGTGGATATGTGGACCTCTGTGAAGATTTCGTTGGAAACGGGTTCATCTTCACAGAAAAACTAAACAGGAGCATTCTCAGAAACTGCTTTGTGATGTTTGTGTTCCACTTCAAGAATTGAACTTTCCTCTTGACAGAGCAGCTCTGAAACCCTCTTTTTCTAGAATCTGCAAGTGGACATTTGGAGGGCTTTGAGGCCTGTGGTGGAAAAGGAAAATCTTCACATAAAAACTAGATGGAAGCATTCTCAGAAACTACTTTGTGATGATTGCATTCGACTCACAGAGTTGAACATTCCTATAGATAGAGCAGGTTGTAAACAATCTTTTTGTAGAATCTGCGATTGGAGATTTGGACTGCTTTGAGGCCTACTGTAGTAAAGGAAATAACTTCATCTAAAAACCAAACGGAAGCATTCACAGACAATTCTTAGTGATCATTGGATTGAACTAACAGAGCTGAACATTCCTTTAGATGGCGCAGTTTCCAAACACACTTTCTGTAGAATCTGCAAGTGGATATTTGGACCTCTCTGAGGATTTCGTTGGAAACGGGATAAACTTCCCAGAACTACACGGAAGTATTCTGAGAAACTTCTTTGTGATGTTTGCATTCAACTCACAGAGTTGAACCTTGCTGTCATAGTTCAGCTTTCAAACACTCTTTTTGTAGAATCTGCAAGTGGATATTTGGACCACTTTGTGGCCTTCCTTCGAAACGGGTATATCTTCACATCAAACCTAGACAGAAGCATTCTCAGAATGTTTCCTGTGATGACTGCATTCAACTCACAGAGGTGAACAATCCTGGTGATGGACCAGTTTTGAAACTCTCTTTCTTTGGATTCTGCAAGTGGATATGTGGACCTCTGTGAAGATTTCGTTGGAAACGGGTTTATCTTCACAGAAAAACTAAACAGAAGCATTCTCAGAAACTGCTTTGTGATGTTTGCGTTCCACTTCAGGAATTGAACTTTCCTCTTGACAGAGCAGCTCTGAATCCCTCTTTTTCTAGAATCTGCAAGTGGACATTTGGAGGGCTTTGAGGCCTGTGGTGGAAAAGGAAAATCTTCACATAAAAACTAGATGGAAGCATTCTCAGAAACTACTTTGTGATGATTGCATTCGACTCACACAGTTGAACATTCCTATAGATAGAGCAGGTTGTAAACAATCTTTTTGTAGAATCTGCGATTGGAGATTTGGACTGCTTTGAGGCCTACTGTAGTAAAGGAAATAACTTCATCTAAAAACCAAACGGAAGCATTCACAGACAATTCTTAGTGATCATTGGATTGAACTAACAGAGCTGAACATTCCCTTAGATGGCGCAGTTTCCAAACACACTTTCTGTAGAATCTGCAAGTGGATATTTGGACCTCTCTGAGGATTTCGTTGGAAACGGGATAAACTTCCCAGAACTACACGGAAGCATTCTGAGAAACTTCTTTGTTATGTTTGCATTCAACTCACAGAGTTGAACCTTGCTTTCATAGTTCAGCTTTCAAACACTCTTTTTGTAGAATCTGCAAGTGGATATTTGGACCACTTTGTTGCCTTCCTTCGAAACAGGTATATCTTCACATCAAACCTAGACAGAAGCATTCTCAGAATGTTTCCTGTGATGACTGCATTCAACTCACAGAGGTGAACAATGCTGCTGATGGAGCAGTTTTGAAACTCTCTTTCTTTGGATTCTGCAAGTGGATATGTGGACCTCTGTGAAGATTTCGTTGGAAACGGGTTCATCTTCACAGAAAAACTAAACAGAAGCATTCTCAGAAACTGCTTTGTGATGTTTGTGTTCCACTTCAGGAATTGAACTTTCCTCTTGAAAGAGCAGCTCTGAAACCCTCTTTTTCTAGAATCTGCAAGTGGACATTTGGAGGGCTTTGAGGCCTGTGGTGGAAAAGGAAAATCTTCACATAAAAACTAGATGGAAGCATTCTCAGAAACTACTTTGTGATGATTGCATTCGACTCACAGAGTTGAACATTCCTATAGATAGAGCAGGTTGTAAACAATCTTTTTGTAGAATCTGCGATTGGAGATTTGGACTGCTTTGAGGCCTACTGTAGTAAATGAAATAACTTCATCTAAAAACCAAACGGAAGCATTCACAGACAATTCTTAGTGATCATTGGATTGAACTAACTGAGCTGAACATTCCTTTAGATGGAGCAGTTTCCAAACCCACCTTCTCTAGAATCTGCAAGTGGATATTTGGACTTCTCTGAGGATTTCGTTGGAAACGGGATAAACTTCCCAGAACTACACGGAAGCATTGTGAGAAACTTCTTTGTGATGTTTGCATTCAACTCACAGAGTTGAACCTTGCTTTCATAGTTCAGCTTTCAAACACTCTTTTTGTAGAATCTGCAAGTGGATATTTGGACCACTTTGTGGCCTTCCTTTGAAACGGGTATATCTTCACATCAAACCTAGACAGAAGCATTCTCAGAATGTTTCCTGTGATGACTGCATTCAACTCACAGAGGTGAACAATCCTGCTGATGGAGCAGTTTTGAAACTCTCTTTCTTTGGATTCTGCAAGTGGATATGTGGACCTCTGTGAAGATTTCGTTGGAAACGGGTTCATCTTCACAGAAAAACTAAACAGGAGCATTCTCAGAAACTGCTTTGTGATGTTTGTGTTCCACTTCAAGAATTGAACTTTCCTCTTGACAGAGCAGCTCTGAAACCCTCTTTTTCTAGAATCTGCAAGTGGACATTTGGAGGGCTTTGAGGCCTGTGGTGGAAAAGGAAAATCTTCACATAAAAACTTTATGGAAGCATTCTCAGAAACTTCTTTGTGATGATTGCATTCGACTCACAGAGTTGAACATTCCTATAGATAGAGCAGGTTGTAAACAATCTTTTTCTAGAATCTGCGATTGGAGATTTGGACTGCTTTGAGGCCTACTGTAGTAAAGGAAATAACTTCATCTAAAAACCAAACGGAAGCATTCACAGACAATTCTTAGTGATCATTGGATTGAACTAACAGAGCTGAACATTCCTTTAGATGGAGCAGTTTCCAAACCCACTTTCTGTAGAATCTGCAAGTGGATATTTGGACTTCTCTGAGGATTTCGTTGGAAACGGGATAAACTTCCCAGAACTACACGGAAGCATTGTGAGAAACTTCTTTGTGATGTTTGCATTCAACTCACAGAGTTGAACCTTGCTTTCATAGTTCAGCTTTCAAACACTCTTTTTGTAGAATCTGCAAGTGGATATTTGGACCACTTTGTGGCCTTCCTTCGAAACGGGTATATCTTCACATCAAACCTAGACAGAAGCATTCTCAGAATGTTTCCTGTGATGACTGCATTCAACTCACAGAGGTGAACAATCCTGCTGTTGGAGCAGTTTTGAAACTCTCTTTCTTTGGATTCTGCAAGTGGATATGTGGACCTCTGTGAAGATTTCATTGGAAACGGGTTCATCTTCACAGAAAAACTAAACAGAAGCATTCTCAGAAACTGCTTTGTGATGTTTGTGTTCCACTTCAAGAATTGAACTTTCCTCTTGACAGAGCAGCTCTGAAACCCTCTTTTTCTAGAATCTGCAAGTGGACATTTGGAGGGCTTTGAGGCCTGTGGTGGAAAAGGAAAATCTTCACATAAAAACTAGATGGAAGCATTCTCAGAAACTACTTTGTGATGATTGCATTCGACTCACCGAGTTGAACATTCCTATAGATAGAGAAGGTTGTTAACAATCTTTTTGTAGAATCTGCGATTGGAGATTTGGACTGCTTTGAGGCCTACTGTAGTAAAGGAAATAACTTCACCTAAAAACCAAACGGAAGCATTCACAGACAATTCTTAGTGATCATTGGATTGAACTAACAGAGCTGAACATTCCTTTAGATGGAGCAGTTTCCAAACACACTTTCTGTGGAATCTGCAAGTGGATATTTGGACTTCTCTGAGGATGTCGTTGGAAACGGGATATACTTCCCAGAACTACACGGAAGCATTCTGAGAAACTTCTTTGTGATGTTTGCATTCAACTCACAGAGTTGAACCTTGCTTTCATAGTTCAGCTTTCAAACACTCTTTTTGTAGAATCTGCAAGTGGATATTTGGACCACTTTGTGGCCTTCCTTCGAAACGGGTATATCTTCACATCAAACCTAGACAGAAGCATTCTCAGAATGTTTCCTGTGATGACTGCATTCAACTCACAGAGGTGAACAATCCTTTTGATGGAGCAGTTTTGAATCTCTCTTTCTTTGGATTCTGCAAGTGGATATGTGGACCTCTGTGAAGATTTCGTTGGAAACGGGTTCATTTTCACAGAAAAACTAAACAGAAGCATTCTCAGAAACTGCTTTGTGATGTTTGTGTTCCACTTCAGGAATTGAACTTTCCTCTTGACAGAGCAGCTCTGAAACCCTCTTATTCTAGAATCTGCAAGTGGACATTTGGAGGGCTTTGAGGCCTGTGGTGGAAAAGGAAAATCTTCACATAAAAACTAGATGGAAGCATTCTCAGAAACTACTTTGTGATGATTGCATTCGACTCACAGAGTTGAACATTCCTATAGATAGAGCAGGTTGTAAACAATCTTTTTGTAGAATCTGCGATTGGAGATTTGGACTGCTTTGAGGCCTACTGTAGTAAAGGAAATAACTTCATCTAAAAACCAAACGGAAGCATTCACAGACAATTCTTAGTGATCATTGGATTGAACTAACAGAGCTGAACATTCCTTTAGATGGAGTAGTTTCCAAACACACTTTCTCTAGAATCTGCAAGTGGATATTTGGACTTCTCTGAGGATTTCGTTGGAAACGGGATAAACTTCCCAGAACTACACGGAAGCATGCTGAGAAACTTCTTTGTGATGTTTGCATTCAACTCACAGAGTTGAACCTTGCTTTCATAGTTCAGCTTTCAAACACTCTTTTTGTAGAATCTGCAAGTGGATATTTGGACCACTTTGTGGCCTTCCTTCGAAACGGGTATATCTTCACATCAAACCTAGACAGAAGCATTCTCAGAATGTTTCCTGTGATGACTGCATTCAACTCACAGAGGTGAACAATCCTGCTGATGGAGCAGTTTTGAAACTCTCTTTCTTTGGATTCTGCAAGTGGATATGTGGACCTCTGTGAAGATTTCGTTGGAAACGGGTTCATCTTCACAGAAAAACTAAACAGAAGCATTCTCAGAAACTGCTTTGTGATGTTTGTGTTCCACTTCAGGAATTGAACTTTCCTCTTGACAGAGCAGCTCTGAAACCCTCTTTTTCTAGAATCTGCAAGTGGACATTTGGAGGGCTTTGAGGCCTGTGGTGGAAAAGGAAAATCTTCACATAAAAACTAGATGGAAGCATTCTCAGAAACTACTTTGTGATGATTGCATTCGACTCACAGAGTTGAACATTCCTATAGATAGAGCAGGTTGTAAACAATCTTTTTGTAGAATCTGCGATTGGAGATTTGGACTGCTTTGAGGCCTACTGTAGTAAAGGAAATAACTTCATCTAAAAACCAAACGGAAGCATTCACAGACAATTCTTAGTGATCATTGGATTGAACTAACAGAGCTGAACATTCCTTTAGATGGAGCAGTTTCCAAACACACTTTCTGCAGAATCTGCAAGTGGATATTTGGACTTCTCTGAGGATTTCGTTGGAAACGGGATAAACTTCCCAGAACTACACGGAAGCATTGTGAGAAACTTCTTTGTGATGTTTGCATTCAACTCACAGAGTTGAACCTTGCTTTCATAGTTCAGCTTTCAAACACTCTTTTTGTAGAATCTGCAAGTGGATATTTGGACCACTTTGTGGCCTTCCTTCGAAACGGGTATATCTTCACATCAAACCTAGACAGAAGCATTCTCAGAATGTTTCCTGTGATGACTGCATTCAACTCACAGAGGTGAACAATCCTGCTGATGGAGCAGTTTTGAAACTCTCTTTCTTTGGATTCTGCAAGTGGATATGTGGACCTCTGTGAAGATTTCGTTGGAAACGGGTTCATCTTCACAGAAAAACTAAACAGGAGCATTCTCAGAAACTGCTTTGTGATGTTTGTGTTCCACTTCAGGAATTGAACTTTCCTCTTGACAGAGCAGCTCTGAAACCCTCTTTTTCTAGAATCTGCAAGTGGACATTTGGAGGGCTTTGAGGCCTGTGGTGGAAAAGGAAAATCTTCACATAAAAACTAGATGGAAGCATTCTCAGAAACTACTCTGTGATGATTGCATTCGACTCACAGAGTTGAACATTCGTATAGATAGAGCAGGTTGTAAACAATCTTTTTGTAGAATCTGCGATTGGAGATTTGGACTGCTTTGAGGCCTACTGTAGTAAAGGAAATAACTTCATCTAAAAACCAAACGGAAGCATTCACAGACAATTCTTAGTGATCATTGGATTGAACTAACAGAGCTGAACATTCCTTTAGATGGAGCAGTTTCCAAACACACTTTCTGTAGAATCTGCAAGTGGATATTTGGACTTCTCTGAGGATTTCGTTGGAAACGGGATAAACTTCCCAGAACTACACGGAAGCATTGTGAGAAACTTCTTTGTGATGTTTGCATTCAACTCACAGAGTTGAACCTTGCTTTCATAGTTCAGCTTTCAAACACTCTTTTTGTGGAATCTGCAAGTGGATATTTGGACCACTTTGTGGCCTTCCTTCGAAACGGGTATATCTTCACATCAAACCTAGACAGAAGCATTCTCAGAATGTTTCCTGTGATGACTGCATTCAACTCACAGAGGTGAACAATCCTGTTGATGGAGCACTTTTGAAACTCTCTTTCTTTGGATTCTGCAAGTTGATATGTGGACCTCTGTGAAGATTTCGTTGGAAACGGGTTCATCTTCACAGAAAAACTAAACAGAAGCATTCTCAGAAACTACTTTGTGATGTTTGTGTTCCACTTCAAGAATTGAACTTTCCTCTTGACAGAGCAGCTCTGAAACCCTCTTTTTCTAGAATCTGCAAGTGGACATTTGGAGGGCTTTGAGGCCTGTGGTGGAAAAGGAAAATCTTCACATAAAAACTAGATGGAAGCATTCTCAGAAACTACTTTGTGATGATTGCATTCGACTCACAGAGTTGAACATTCCTATAGATAGAGCAGGTTGTAAACAATCTTTTTGTAGAATCTGCGATTGGAGATTTGGACTGCTTTGAGGCCTACTGTAGTAAAGGAAATAACTTCATCTAAAAACCAAACGGAAGCATTCACAGACAATTCTTAGTGATCATTGGATTGAACTAACAGAGCTGAACATTCCTTTAGATGGAGCAGTTTCCAAAACCACTTTCTGTAGAATCTGCAAGTGGATATTTGGACTTCTCTGAGGATTTCGTTGGAAACGGGATAAACTTCCCAGAACTACAGGGAAGCATTGTGAGAAACTTCTTTGTGATGTTTGCATTCAACTCACAGAGTTGAACCTTGCTTTCATAGTTCAGCTTTCAAACACTCTTTTTGTAGAATCTGCAAGTGGATATTTGGACCACTTTGTGGCCTTCCTTCGAAACGGGTATATCTTCACATCAAACCTAGACAGAAGCATTCTCAGAATGTTTCCTGTGATGACTGCATTCAACTCACAGAGGTGAACAATCCTGCTGATGGAGCAGTTTTGAAACTCTCTTTCTTTGGATTCTGCAAGTGGATATGTGGACCTCTGTGAAGATTTCGTTGGAAACGGGTTCATCTTCACAGAAAAACTAAACAGAAGCATTCTCAGAAACTGCTTTGTGATGTTTGTGTTCCACTTCAGGAATTGAACTTTCCTCTTGACAGAGCAGCTCTGAAACCCTCTTATTCTAGAATCTACAAGTGGACATTTGGAGGGCTTTGAGGCCTGTGGTGGAAAAGGAAAATCTTCTCATAAAAACTAGATGGAAGCATTCTCAGAAACTACTTTGTGATGATTGCATTCGACTCACAGAGTTGAACATTCCTATAGATAGAGCAGGTTGTAAACAATCTTTTTGTAGAATCTGCGATTGGAGATTTGGACTGCTTTGAGGCCTACTGTAGTAAAGGAAATAACTTCATCTAAAAACCAAACGGAAGCATTCACAGACAATTCTTAGTGATCATTGGATTGAACTAACAGAGCTGAACATTCCTTTAGATGGAGCAGTTTCCAAACACACTTTCTGTAGAATCTGCAAGTGGATATTTGGACTTCTCTGAGGATTTCGTTGGAAACGGGATAAACTTCCCAGAACTACACGGAAGCATTCTGAGAAACTTCTTTGTGATGTTTGCATTCAACTCACAGAGTTGAACCTTGCTTTCATAGCTCAGCTTTCAAACACTCTTTTTGTAGAATCTGCAAGTGGATATTTGGACCACTTTGTGGCCTTCCTTCGAAACGGGTATATCTTCACATCAAACCTAGACAGAAGCATTCTCAGAATGTTTCCTGTGATGACTGCATTCAACTCACAGAGGTGAACAATCCTGTTGATGGAGCAGTTTTGAAACTCTATTTCTTTGGATTCTGCAAGTTGATATGTGGACCTCTGTGAAGATTTCGTTGGAAACGGGTTCATCTTCACAGAAAAACTAAGCAGAAGCATTCTCAGAAACTGCTTTGTGATGTTTGTGTTCCACTTCAGGAATTGAACTTTCCTCTTGACAGAGCAGCTCTGAAACCCTCTTATTCTAGAATCTGCAAGTGGACATTTGGAGGGCTTTGAGGCCTGTGGTGGAAAAGGAAAATCTTCACATAAAAACTAGATGGAAGCATTCTCAGAAACTACTTTGTGATGATGGCTTTCGACTCACAGAGTTGAACATTCCTATAGATAGAGCAGGTTGTAAACAATCTTTTTGTAGAATCTGCGATTGGAGATTTGGACTGCTTTGAGGCCTACTGTAGTAAAGGAAATAACTTCATCTAAAAACCAAACGGAAGCATTCACAGACAATTCTTAGTGATCATTGCATTAAACTAACAGAGCTGAACATTCCTTTAGATGGCGCAGTTTCCAAACACACTTTCTGTAGAATCTGCAAGTGGATATTTGGACCTCTCTGAGGATTTCGTTGGAAACGGGATAAACTTCCCAGAACTACACGGAAGCATTCTGAGAAACTTCTCTGTGATGTTTGCATTCAACTCACAGAGTTGAACCTTGCTTTCATAGTTCAGCTTTCAAACACTCTTTTTGTAGAATCTGCAAGTGGATATTTGGACCACTTTGTGGCCTTCCTTCGAAACGGGTATATCTTCACATCAAACCTAGACAGAAGCATTCTCAGAATGTTTCCTGTGATGACTGCATTCAACTCACAGAGGTGAACAATCCTGCTGATGGAGCAGTTTTGAAACTCTCTTTCTTTGGATTCTACAAGTGGATATGTGGACCTCTGTGAAGATTTCGTTGGAAACGGGTTCATCTTCACAGAAAAACTAAACATGAGCATTCTCAGAAACTGCTTTGTGATGTTTGTGTTCCACTTCAAGAATTGAACTTTCCTCTTGACAGAGCAGCTCTGAAACCCTCTTTTTCTAGAATCTGCAAGTGGACATTTCGAGGGCTTTGAGGCCTGTGGTGGAAAAGGAAAATCTTCACATAAAAACTAGATGGAAGCATTCTCAGAAACTACTTTGTGATGATTGCATTCGACTCACAGAGTTGAACATTCCTATAGATAGAGCAGGTTGTAAACAATCTTTTGGTAGAATCTGCGATTGGAGATTTGGATTGCTTTGAGGCCTACTGTAGTAAAGGAAATAACTTCATCTAAAAACCAAACGGAAGCATTCACAGACAATTCTTAGTGATCATTGCATTGAACTAACAGAGCTGAACATTCCTTTAGATGGCGCAGTTTCCAAACATACTTTCTGTAGAATCTGCAAGTGGATATTTGGACCTCTCTGAGGATTTCGTTGGAAAGGGGATAAACTTCCCAGAACTACACGGAAGCATTCTGAGAAACTTCTTTGTGATGTTTGCATTCAACTCACAGAGTTGAACCTTGCTTTCAAAGTTCAGCTTTCAAACACTCTTTTTGTAGAATCTGCAAGTGGATATTTGGACCACTTTTGGGCCTTCCTTCGAAACGGGTTCATCTTCACAGAAAAATTAAACAGGAGCATTCTCAGAATGTTTCCTGTGATGACTGCATTCAACTCACAGAGGTGAACAATCCTGTTGATGCAGCAGTTTTAAAACTCTCTTTCTTTGGATTCTGCAAGTGGATATGTGGACCTCTGTGAAGATTTCGTTGGAAATGGGTTCATCTTCACAGAAAAACTAAACAGAAGCATTCTCAAAAACTGCTTTGTGATGTTTGTGTTCCACTTCATGAATTGAACTTTCCTCTTGACAGAGCAGCTCTGAAACCCTCTTTCTCTAGAATCTGCAAGTGGACATTTGGAGGGCTTTGAGGTCTGTGGTGGAAAAGGAAAATCTTCACATAAAAACTAGATGGAAGCATTCTCAGAAACTACTTTGTGATGATTGCATTCGACTCACAGAGTTGAACATTCCTATAGATAGAGCAGGTTGTAAACAATCTTTTTGTAGAATCTGCGATTGGAGATTTGGACTGCTTTGAGGCCTACTGTAGTAAAGGAAATAACTTCATCTAAAAACCAAACGGAAGCATTCACAGACAATTCTTAGTGATCATTGCATTGAACTAACAGAGCTGAACATTCCTTTAGATGGCGCAGTTTCCAAACACACTTTCTGTAGAATCTGCAAGTGGATATTTGGACCTCTCTGAGGATTTCGTTGGAAACGGGATAAACTTCCCAGAACTACACGGAAGCATTCTGAGAAACTTCTTTGTGATGTTTGCATTCAACTCACAGAGTTGAACCTTGCTTTCATAGTTCAGCTTTCAAACACTCTTTTTGTAGAATCTGCAAGTGGATATTTGGACCACTTTCTGGCCTTCCTTCGAAACGGGTATATCTTCACATCAAACCTAGACAGAAGCATTCTCAGAATGTTTCCTGTGATGACTGCATTCAACTCACAGAGGTGAACAATCCTGCTGATGGAGCAGTTTTGAAACTCTCTTTCTTTGGATTCTGCAAGTGGATATGTGGACCTCTGTGAAGATTTCGTTGGAAACGGGTTCATCTTCACAGAAAAACTAAACAGAAGCATTCTCAGAAACTGCTTTGTTATGTTTGTGTTCCACTTCAGGAATTGAACTTTCCTCTTGACAGAGCAGCTCTGAAACCCTCTTATTCTAGAATCTGCAAGTGGACATTTGGAGGGCTTTGAGGCCTGTGGTGGAAAAGGAAAATCTTCACATAAAAACTAGATGGAAGCATTCTCAGAAACTACTTTGTGATGATTGCATTCGACTCACAGAGTTGAACATTCCTATAGATAGAGCAGGTTGTAAACAATCTTTTTGTAGAATCTGCGATTGGAGATTTGGACTGCTTTGAGGCCTACTGTAGTAAAGGAAATAACTTCATCTAAAAACCAAACGGAAGCATTCACAGACAATTCTTAGTGATCATTGCATTGAACTAACAGAGCTGAACATTCCTTTAGATGGCGCAGTTTCCAAACACACTTTCTTTAGAATCTGCAAGTGGATATTTGGACCTCTCTGAGGATTTCGTTGGAAACGGGATAAACTTCCCAGAACTACACGGAAGTATTCTGAGAAACTTCTTTGTGATGTTTGCATTCAACTAACAGAGTTGAACCTTGCTTTCATAGTTCAGCTTTCAAACACTCTTTTGGTAGAATCTGCAAGTGGATATTTGGACCAATTTGTGGCCTTCCTTCGAAACGGGTATATCTTCACTTCAAACCTAGACAGAAGCATTCTCAGAATGTTTCCTGTGATGACTGCATTCAACTCACAGAGGTGAACAATCCTGTTGATGGAGCAGTTTTGAAACTCTCTTTCTTTGGATTCTGCAAGTGGATATGTGGACCTCTGTGAAGATTTCGTTGGAAACGGGTTCAACTGCACAGAAAAACTAAACAGGAGCATTCTCAGAAACTGCTTTGTGATGTTTGTGTTCCACTTCAAGAATTGAACTTTCCTCTTGACAGAGAAGCTCTGAAACCCTCTTTTTCTAGAATCTGCAAGTGGACATTTGGAGGGCTTTGAGGCCTGTGGTGGAAAAGGAAAATCTTCACATAAAAACTAGATGGAAGCATTCTCAGAAACTACTTTGTGATGATTGCATTCGACTCACAGAGTTGAACATTCCTATAGATAGAGCAGGTTGTAAACAATGTTTTTGTAGAATCTGCGATTGGAGATTTGGACTGCTTTGAGGCCTACTGTAGTAAAGGAAATAACTTCATCTAAAAACCAAACGGAAGCATTCACAGACAATTCTTAGTGATCATTGCATTGAACTAACAGAGCTGAACATTCCTTTAGATGGCGCAGTTTCCAAACACACTTTCTGTAGAATCTGCAAGTGGATATTTGGACTTCTCTGAGGATTTCGTTGGAAACGGGATAAACTTCCCAGAACTACACGGAAGCATTGTGAGAAACTTCTTTGTGATGTTTGCATTCAACTCACAGAGTTGAACCTTGCTTTCATAGTTCAGCTTTCAAACACTCTTTTTGTAGAATCTGCAAGTGGATATTTGGACCACTTTGTGGCCTTCCTTCGAAACGGGTATATCTTCACATCAAACCTAGACAGAAGCATTCTCAGAATGTTTCCTGTGATGACTGCATTCAACTCACAGAGGTGAACAATCCTGCTGATGGAGCAGTTTTGAAACTCTCCTTCTTTGGATTCTGGAAGTGGATATGTGGACCTCTGTGAAGATTTCGTTGGAAACGGGTTCATCTTCACAGAAAAATTAACAGAAGCATTCTCAGAAACTGCTGTGTGATGTCTGTGTTCGACTTCAGGAATTGAACTTTCCTCTTGACAGAGCAGCTCTGAAACCCTCTTATTCTAGAATCTGCAAGTGGACATTTGGAGGGCTTTGAGGCCTGTGGTGGAAAAGGAAAATCTTCACATAAAAACTAGATGGAAGCATTCTCAGGAACTACTTTGTGATGATTGCATTCGACTCACAGAGTTGAACATTCCTATAGATAGAGCAGGTTGTAAACAATCTTTTTGTAGAATCTGCGATTGGAGATTTGGACTGCTTTGAGGCCTACTGTAGTAAAGGAAATAACTTCATCTAAAAACCAAATGGAAGCATTCACAGACAATACTTAGTGATCATTGGATTGAACAAACAGAGCTGAACATTCCTTTAGATAGAGCAGTTTACAAACACACTTTCTGTAGAATCTGCAAGTGGATATTTGGACTTCTCTGAGGATTTCTTTGGAAACGGGATAAACTTCCCAGAACTACACGGAAGCATTCTGAGAAACTTCTTTGTGATGTTTGCATTCAACTCACAGAGTTGAACCTTGCTTTCATAGTTCAGCTTTCAAACACTCTTTTTGTAGAATCTGCAAGTGGATATTTGGACCACTTTGTGGCCTTCCTTCGAAACGGGTATATCTTCACATCAAACCTAGACAGAAGCATTCTCAGAATGTTTCCTGTGATGACTGCATTCAACTCACAGAGGTGAACAATCCTGTTGATGGAGCAGTTTTGAAACTCTCTTTCTTTGGATTCTGCAAGTGGATATGTGGACCTCTGTGAAGATTTCGTTGGAAACGGGTTCATCTTCACAGAAAAACTAAACAGAAGCATTCTCAGAAACTGCTTTGTGATGTTTGTGTTCCACTTCAAGAATTGAACTTTCCTCTTGACAGAGCAGCTCTGAAACCCTCTTTTTCTAGAATCTGCAAGTGGACATTTGGAGGGCTTTGAGGCCTGTGGTGGAAAAGGAAAATCTTCCCATAAAAACTAGATGGAAGCATTCTCAGAAACTACTTTGTGATGATTGCATTCGACTCACAGAGTTGAACATTCCTATAGATAGAGCAGGTTGTAAACAATGTTTTTGTAGAATCTGCGATTGGAGATTTGGATTGCTTTGAGGCCTACTGTAGTAAAGGAAATAACTTCATCTAAAAACCAAACGGAAGCATTCACAGACAATTCTTAGTGATCATTGGATTGAACTAACAGAGCTGAACATTCCTTTAGATGGAGCAGTTTCCAAACACACTTTCTGCAGAATCTGCAAGTGGATATTTGGACTTCTCTGAGGATTTCGTTGGAAACGGGATAAACTTCCCAGAACTACACGGAAGCATTGTGAGAAACATCTTTGTGAAGTTTGCATTCAACTCACAGAGTTGAACCTTGCTTTCATAGTTCAGCTTTCAAACACTCTTTTTGTAGAATCTGCAAGTGGATATTTGGACCACTTTGTGGCCTTCCTTCGAAACGGGTATATCTTCACATCAAACCTAGACAGAAGCATTCTCAGAATGTTTCCTGTGATGACTGCATTCAACTCACAGAGGTGAACAATCCTGCTGATGGAGCAGTTTTGAAACTCTCTTTCTTTGGATTCTGCAAGTGGATATGTGGACCTCTGTGAAGATTTCGTTGGAAACGGGTTCATCTTCACAGAAAAACTAAACAGAAGCATTCTCAGAAACTGCTTTGTGATGTTTGTGTTCCACTTCAGGAATTGAACTTTCCTCTTGACAGAGCAGCTCTGAAACCCTCTTATTCTAGAATCTGCAAGTGGACATTTGGAGGGCTTTGAGGCCTGTGGTGGAAAAGGAAAATCTTCACATAAAAACTAGATGGAAGCATTCTCAGAAACTACTTTGTGATGATTGCATTCGACTCACAGAGTTGAACATTCCTATAGATAGAGCAGGTTGTAAACAATCTTTTTGTAGAATCTGCGATTGGAGATTTGGACTGCTTTGAGGCCTACTGTAGTAAAGGAAATAACTTCATCTAAAAACCAAACGGAAGCATTCACAGACAATTCTTAGTGATCATTGGATTGAACTAACAGAGCTGAACATTCCTTTAGATGGAGCAGTTTCCAAACACACTTTCTGTAGAATCTACAAGTGGATATTTGGACTTCTCTGAGGATTTCGTTGGAAACGGGATAAACTTCCCAGAACTACACGGAAGCATTCTGAGAAACTTCTTTGTGATGTTTGCATTCAACTCACAGCAGTTGAACCTTGCTTTCATAGTTCAGCTTTCAAACACTCTTTTTGTAGAATCTGCAAGTGGATATTTGGACCACTTTGTGGCCTTCCTTCGAAACGGGTATATCTTCACATCAAACCTTGACAGAAGCATTCTCAGAATGTTTCCTGTGATGACTGCATTCAACTCACAGAGGTGAACAATCCTGCTGATGGAGCAGTTTTGAAACTCTCTTTCTTTGGATTCTGCAAGTGGATATGTGGACCTCTGTGAAGATTTCGTTGGAAACGGGTTCATCTTCACAGAAAAACTAAACAGGAGCATTCTCAGAAACTGCTTTGTGATGTTTGTGTTCCACTTCAGGAAGTGAACTTTCCTCTTGACAGAGCAACTCTGAAACCCTCTTTTTCTAGAATCTGCAAGTGGACATTTGGAGGGCTTTGAGGCCTGTGGTGGAAAAGGAAAATCTTCACATAAAAACTAGATGGAAGCATTCTCAGAAACTACTTTGTGATGATTGCATTCGACTCACAGAGTTGAACATTCCTATAGATAGAGCAGGTTGTAAACAATCTTTTTGTAGAATCTGCGATTGGAGATTTGGACTGCTTTGAGGCCTACTGTAGTAAAGGAAATAACTTCATCTAAAAACCAAACGGAAGCATTCACAGACAATTCTTAGTGATCATTGGATTGAACTAACAGAGCTGAACATTCCTTTAGATGGCGCAGTTTCCAAACACACTTTCTGTAGAATCTGAAAGTGGATATTTGGACCTCTCTGAGGATTTCGTTTGAAACGGGATAAACTTCCCAGAACTACACGGAAGCATTCTGAGAAACTTCTTTGTGATGTTTGCATTCAACTCACAGAGTTGAACCTTGCTTTCATAGTTCAGCTTTCAAACACTCTTTTTGTAGAATCTGCAAGTGGATATTTGGACCACTTTGTGGCCTTCCTTCGAAACGGGTATATCTTCACATCAAACCTAGACAGAAGCATTCTCAGAATGTTTCCTGTGATGACTGCATTCAACTCACAGAGGTGAACAATCCTGCTGATGGAGCAGTTTTGAAACTCTCTTTCTTTGGATTCTGCAAGTGGATATGTGGACCTCTGGGAAGATTTCGTTGGAAACGGGTTCATCTTCACAGAAAAACTAAACAGAAGCATTCTCAGAAACTGCTTTGTGATGTTTGTGTTCCACTTCAAGAATTGAACTTTCCTCTTGACAGAGCAGCTCTGAAACCCTCTTTTTCTAGAATCTGCAAGTGGACATTTGGAGGGCTTTGAGGCCTGTGGTGGAAAAGGAAAATCTTCACATAAAAACTAGATGGAAGCATTCTCAGAAACTACTTTGTGATGATTGCATTCGACTCACAGAGTTGAACATTCCTATAGATAGAGCAGGTTGTAAACAATCTTTTTGTAGAATCTGCGATTGGAGATTTGGACTGCTTTGAGGCCTACTGTAGTAAAGGAAATAACTTCATCTAAAAACCAAACGGAAGCATTCACAGACAATTCTTAGTGATCATTGGATTGAACTAACAGAGCTGAACATTCCTTTAGATGGAGCAGTTTCCAAACCCACTTTCTGTAGAATCTGCAAGTGGATATTTGGACTTCTCTGAGGATTTCGTTGGAAACGGGATAAACTTCCCAGAACTACACGGAAGCATTCTGAGAAACTTCTTTGTGATGTTTGCATTCAACTCACAGAGTTGAACCTTGCTTTCATAGTTCAGCTTTCAAACACTCTTTTTGTAGAATCTGCAAGTGGATATTTGGACCACTTTGTGGCCTTCCTTCGAAACGGGTATATCTTCACATCAAACCTAGACAGAAGCATTCTCAGAATGTTACCTGTGATGACTGCATTCAACTCACAGAGGTGAACAATCCTGCTGATGGAGCAGTTTTGAAACTCTCTTTCTTTGGATTCTGCAAGTGGATATGTGGACCTCTGTGAAGATTTCGTTGGAAACGGGTTCATCTTCACAGAAAAACTAAACAGAAGCATTCTCAGAAACTGCTTTGTGATGTTTGTGTTCCACTTCAGGAATTGAACTTTCCTCTTGACAGAGCAGCTCTGAAACCCTCTTTTTCTAGAATCTGCAAGTGGACATTTGGAGGGCTTTGAGGCCTGTGGTGGAAAAGGAAAATCTTCACATAAAAACTAGATGGAAGCATTCTCAGAAACTACTTTGTGATGATTGCATTCGACTCACAGAGTTGAACATTCCTATAGATAGAGCAGGTTGTAAACAATCTTTTTGTAGAATCTGCGATTCGAGATTTGGAATGCTTTGAGGCCTACTGCAGTAAAGGAAATAACTTCATCTAAAAACCAAACGGAAGCATTCACAGACAATTCTTAGTGATCATTGGATTGAACTAACAGAGCTGAACATTCCTTTAGATGGAGCAGTTTCCAAACCCACTTTCTGTAGAATCTGCAAGTGGATATTTGGACCTCTAAGAGGATTTCGTTGGAAACGGGATAAACTTCCCAGAACTACACGGAAGCATTCTGAGAATCTTCTTTGTGATGTTTGCATTCAACTCACAGAGTTGAACCTTGCTTTCATAGTTCAGCTTTCAAACACTCTTTTTGTAGAATCTGCAAGTGGATATTTGGACCACTTTGTGGCCTTCCTTCGAAACGGGTATATCTTCACATCAAACCTAGACAGAAGCATTCTCAGAATGTTTCCTGTGATGACTGCATTCAACTCACAGAGGTGAACAATCCTGCTGATGGAGCAGTTTTGAAACTCTCTTTCTTTGGATTCTGCAAGTGGATATGTGGACCTCTGTGAAGATTTCGTTGGAAACGGGTTCATCTTCACAGAAAAACTAAACAGGAGCATTCTCAGAAACTGCTTTGTGATGTTTGTGTTCCACTTCAGGAATTGAACTTTCCTCTTGACAGAGCAGCTCTGAAACCCTCTTTTTCTAGAATCTGCAAGTGGACATTTGGAGGGCTTTGAGGCCTGTGGTGGAAAAGGAAAATCTTCACATAAAAACTAGATGGAAGCATTCTCAGAAACTACTTTGTGATGATTGCATTCGACTCACAGAGTTGAACATTCCTATAGATAGAGCAGGTTGTAAACAATCTTTTTGTAGAATCTGCGATTGGAGATTTGGACTGCTTTGAGGCCTACTGTAGTAAAGGAAATAACTTCATCTAAAAACCAAACGGAAGCATTCACAGACAATTCTTAGTGATCATTGCATTGAACTAACAGAGCTGAACATTCCTTTAGATGGCGCAGTTTCCAAACAAACTTTATGTAGAATCTGCAAGTGGATATTTGGACCTCTCTGAGGATTTCGTTGGAAACGGGATAAACTTCCCAGAACTACACGGAAGCATTGTGAGAAACTTCTTTGTGATGTTTGCATTCAACTCACAGAGTTGAACCTTGCTTTCATAGTTCAACTTTCAAACACTCTTTTTGTAGAATCTGCAAGTGGATATTTGGACCACTTTGTGGCCTTCCTTCGAAACGGGTATATCTTCACATCAAACCTAGACAGAAGCATTCTCAGAATGTTTCCTGTGATGACTGCATTCAACTCACAGAGGTGAACAATCCTGCTGATGGAGCAGTTTTGAAACTCTCTTTCTTTGGATTCTGCAAGTGGATATGTGGACCTCTGTGAAGATTTCGTTGGAAACGGGTTCATCTTCACAGAAAAACTAAACAGGAGCATTCTCAGAAACTGCTTTGTGATGTTTGTGTTCCACTTCAAGAATTGAACTTTCCTCTTGACAGAGCAGCTCTGAAACCCTCTTTTTCTAGAATCTGCAAGTGGACATTTGGAGGGCTTTGAGGCCTGTGGTGGAAAAGGAAAATCTTCACATAAAAACTAGATGGAAGCATTCTCAGAAACTACTTTGTGATGATTGCATTCGACTCACAGAGTTGAACATTCCTATAGATAGAGCAGGTTGTAAACAATCTTTTTGTAGAATCTGCGATTGGAGATTTGGACTGCTTTGAGGCCTACTGTAGTAAAGGAAATAACTTCATCTAAAAACCAAACGGAAGCATTCACAGACAATTCTTAGTGATCATTGGATTGAACTAACAGAGCTGAACATTCCTTTAGATGGCGCAGTTTCCAAACACACTTTCTGTAGAATCTGCAAGTGGATATTTGGACCTCTCTGAGGATTTCGTTGGAAACGGGATAAACTTCCCAGAACTACACGGAAGCATTCTGAGAAACTTCTTTGTGATGTTTGCATTCAACTCACAGAGTTGAACCTTGCTTTCATAGTTCAGCTTTCAAACACTCTTTTTGTAGAATCTGCAAGTGGATATTTGGACCACTTTGTGGCCTTCCTTCGAAACGGGTATACCTTCACATCAAACCTAGACAGAAGCATTCTCAGAATGTTTCCTGTGATGACTGCATTCAACTCACAGAGGTGAACAATCCTGCTGATGGAGCAGTTTTGAAACTCTCTTTCTTTGGATTCTGCAAGTGGATATGTGGACCTCTGTGAAGATTTCGTTGGAAACGGGTTCATCTTCACAGAAAAATTAAACAGAAGAATTCTCAGAAACTGCTTTGTGATGTTTGTGTTCCACTTCAGGAATTGAACTTTCCTCTTCACAGAGCAGCTCTGAAACCCTCTTTTTCTAGAATCTGCAAGTGGACATTTGGAGGGCTTTGAGGCCTGTGGTGGAAAAGGAAAATCTTCACATAAAAACTAGATGGAAGCATTCTCAGCAAACTACTTTGTGATGATTGCATTCGACTCACAGCAGTTGAACATTCCTATAGATAGAGCAGGTTGTAAACAATGTTTTTGTAGAATCTGCGATTGGAGATTTGGATTGCTTTGAGGCCTACTGTAGTAAAGGAAATAACTTCATCTAAAAACCAAACGGAAGCATTCACAGACAATTCTTAGTGATCATTGGATTGAACTAACAGAGCTGAACATTCCTTTAGATGGAGCAGTTTCCAAACACACTTTCTGTAGAATCTGCAAGTGGATATTTGGACCTCTCTGTGGATTTCGTTGGAAACGGGATAAACTTCCCAGAACTACACGGAAGCATGCTGAGAAACTTCTTTGTGATGTTTGCATTCAACTCACAGAGTTGAACCTTGCTTTCATAGTTCAGCTTTCAAACACTCTTTTTGTAGAATCTGCAAGTGGATATTTGGACCACTTTGTGGCCTTCCTTCGAAACGGGTATATCTTCACATCAAACATAGACAGAAGCATTCTCAGAATGTTTCCTGTGATGACTGCATTCAACTCACAGAGGTGAACAATCCTGCTGATGGAGCAGTTTTGAAACTCTCTTTCTTTGGATTCTGCAAGTGGATATGTGGACCTCTGTGAAGATTTCGTTGGAAACGGGTTCATCTTCACAGAAAAACTAAACAGGAGCATTCTCAGAAACTGCTTTGTGATGTTTGTGTTCCACTTCAGGAATTGAACTTTCCTCTTGACAGAGCAGCTCTGAAACCCTCTTATTCTAGAATCTGCAAGTGGACATTTGGAGGGCTTTGAGGCCTGTGGTGGAAAAGGAAAATCTTCACATAAAAACTAGATGGAAGCATTCTCAGAAACTACTTTGTGATGATTGCATTCGACTCACAGAGTTGAACATTCCTATAGATAGAGCAGGTTGTAAACAATCTTTTTGTAGAATCTGCGATTGGAGATTTGGACTGCTTTGAGGCCTACTGTAGTAAAGGAAATAACTTCATCTAAAAACCAAACGGAAGCATTCACAGACAATTCTTAGTGATCATTGCATTGAACTAACAGAGCTGAACATTCCTTTAGATGGCGCAGTTTCCAAACACACTTTCTGTAGAATCTGCAAGTGGATATTTGGACCTCTCTGAGGATTTCGTTGGAAACGGGATAAACTTCCCAGAACTACACGGAAGCATTGTGAGAAACTTCTTTGTGATGTTTGCATTCAACTCACAGAGTTGAACCTTGCTTTCATAGTTCAGCTATCAAACACTCTTTTTGTAGGATCTGCAAGTGGATATTTGGACCACTTTGTGGCCTTCCTTCGAAACGGGTATATCTTCACATGAAACATAGACAGAAGCATTCTCAGAATGTTTCCTGTGATGACTGCATTCAACTCACAGAGGTGAACAATCCTGCTGATGGAGCAGTTTTGAAACTCTCTTTCTTTGGATTCTGCAAGTGGATATGTGGACCTCTGTGAAGATTTCGTTGGAAACGGGTTCATCTTCACAGAAAAACTAAACAGGAGCATTCTCAGAAACTGCTTTGTGATGTTTGTGTTCCACTTCAAGAATTGAACTTTCCTCTTGACAGAGCAGCTCTGAAACCCTCTTATTCTAGAATCTGCAAGTGGACATTTGGAGGGCTTTGAGGCCTGTGGTGGAAAAGGAAAATCTTCACATAAAAACTAGATGGAAGCATTCTCAGAAACTACTTTGTGATGATTGCATTCGACTCACAGAGTTGAACATTCCTATAGATAGAGCAGGTTGTAAACAATCTTTTTGTAGAATCTGCGATTGGAAATTTGGACTGCTTTGAGGCCTACTGTAGTAAAGGAAATAACTTCATCTAAAAACCAAACGGAAGCATTCACAGACAATTCTTAGTGATCATTGCATTGAACTAACAGAGCTGAACATTCCTTTAGATGGCGCAGTTTCCAAACACACTTTCTGTAGAATCTGCAAGTGGATATTTGGACCTCTCTGAGGATTTCGTTGGAAACGGGATAAACTTCCCAGAACTACACGGAAGCTTTCTGAGAAACTTCTTTGTGATGTTTGCATTCAACTCACAGAGTTGAACCTTGCTTTCATAGTTCAGCTTTCAAACACTCTTTTTGTAGAATCTGCAAGTGGATATTTGGACCACTTTGTGGCCTTCCTTCGAAACGGGTATATCTTCACATCAAACCTAGACAGAAGCATTCTCAGAATGTTTCCTGTGATGACTGCATTCAACTCACAGAGGTGAACAATCCTGCTGATGGAGCAGTTTTGAAACTCTCTTTCTTTGGATTCTGCAAGTGGATATGTGGACCTCTGTGAAGATTTCGTTGGAAACGGGTTCATCTTCACAGAAAAACTAAACAGAAGCATTCTCAGAAACTGCTTTGTGATGTTTTTGTTCCACTTCAGGAATTGAACTTTCCTCTTGACAGAGCAGCTCTGAAAACCTCTTATTCTAGAATCCGCAAGTGGACATTTGGAGGGCTTTGAGGCCTGTGGTGGAAAAGGAAACTCTTCACATAAAAACTAGATGGAAGCATTCTCAGAAACTACTTTGGGATGATTGCATTCGACTCACAGAGTTGAACATTCGTATAGATAGAGCAGGTTGTAAACAATCTTTTTGTAGAATCTGCGATTGGAGATTTGGACTGCTTTGAGGCCTACTGTAGTAAAGGAAATAACTTCATCTAAAAACCAAACGGAAGCATTCACAGACAATTCTTAGTGATCATTGGATTGAACTAACAGAGCTGAACATTCCTTTAGATGGAGCAGATTCCAAACCCACTTTCTGTAGAATCTGCAAGTGGATATTTGGACTTCTCTGAGGATTTCGTTGGAAACGGGATAAACTTCCCAGAACTACACGGAAGCATTCTGAGAAACTTCTTTGTGATGTTTGCATTCAACTCACCGAGTTGAACCTTGCTTTCCTAGTTCAGCTTTCAAACACTCTTTTTGTAGAATCAGCAAGTGGATATTTCGACCACTTTGTGGCCTTCCTTCGAAACGGGTATATCTTCACATCAAACCTAGACAGAAGCATTCTCAGAATGTTTCCTGTGATGACTGCATTGAACTCACAGAGGTGAACAATCCTGTTGATGGAGCAGTTTTGAAACTCTCTTTCTTTGGATTCTGCAAGTGATTATGTGGACCTCTGTGCAGATTTCGTTGGAAACGGGTTCATCTTCACAGAAAAACTAAACAGAAGCATTCTCAGAAACTGCTTTGTGATGTTTGTGTTCCACTTCAAGAATTGAACTTTCCTCTTGACAGAGCAGCTCTGAAACCCTCTTTTTCTAGAATCTGCAAGTGGACATTTGGAGGGCTTTGATGCCTGTGGTGGAAAAGGAAAATCTTCACATAAAAACTAGATGGAAGCATTCTCAGAAACTTTTTTGTGATGATTGCATTCGACTCACAGAGTTGAACATTCCTATAGATAGAGCAGGTTGTAAACAATCTTTTTGTAGAATCTGCGATTGGAGATTTGGACTGCTTTGAGGCCTACTGTAGTAAAGGGAATAACTTCATCTAAAAACCAAACGGAAGCATTCACAGACAATTCTTAGTGATCATTGGATTGAACTAACAGAGCTGAACATTCCTTTAGATGGAGCATTTTCCAAACACACTTTCTGTAGAATCTGCAAGTGGATATTTGGACCTCTCTGAGGATTTCGTTGGAAACGGGGTAAACTTCCCAGAAATACACGGAAGCATTCTGAGAAACTTCTTTGTGATGTTTGCATTCAACTCACAGAGTTGAACCTTGCTTTCATAGTTCAGCTTTGAAACACTCTTTTTGTAGAATCTGGAGTGGATATTTGGACCACTTTGTGGCCTTCCTTCGAAACGGGTATATCTTCACATCAAACCTAGACAGAAGCATTCTCAGAATGTTTCCTGTGATGACCGCATTGGACTCACAGATGTGAACAATCCTGTTGATGGAGCAGTTTTGAAACTCTCTTTCTTTGGATTCTGCAAGTGGATATGTGGACCTCTTTGAAGATTTCGTTGGAAACGGGTTCATCTTCACAGAAAAACTAAACAGAAGCATTCTCAGAAACTGCTTTGTGTTGTTTGTGTTCCACTTCAAGAATTGAACTTTCCTCTTGACAGAGCAGCTCTGAAACCCTCTTTTTCTAGAATCTGCAAGTGGACATTTGGAGGGCTTTGAGGCCTGTGGTGGAAAAGGAAAATCTTCACATAAGAACTAGATGGAAGCATTCTCAGAAACTACTTTGTGATGATTGCATTCGACTCACAGAGTTGAACATTCCTATAGATAGAGCAGGTTGTAAACAATCTTTTTGTAGAATCTGCGATTGGAGATTTGGACTGCTTTGAGGCCTACTGTAGTAAAGGAAATAACTTCATCTAAAAACCAAACGGAAGCATTCACAGACAATTCTTAGTGATCATTGGATTGAACTAACAGAGCTGAACATTCCTTTAGATGGCGCAGTTTCCAAACACACTTTCTGTAGAATCTGCAAGTGGATATTTGGACCTCTCTGAGGATTTCGTTGGAAACGGGATAAACTTCCCAGAACTACACGGAAGCATTGTGAGAAACTTCTTTGTGATGTTTGCATTCAACTCACAGAGTTGAACCTTGCTTTCATAGTTCAGCTTTCAAACACTCTTTTTGTAGAATCTGCAAGTGGATATTTGGACCACTTTGTGGCCTTCCTTCGAAACGGGTATATCTTCACATCAAACCTAGACAGAAGCATTCTCAGAATGTATCCTGTGATGACTGCATTCAACTCACAGAGGTGAACAATCCTGCTGATGGAGCAGTTTTGAAACTCTCTTTCTTTGGATTCTGCAAGTGGATATGTGGACCTCTGTGAAGATTTCGTTGGAAACGGGTTCATCTTCACAGAAAAACTAAACAGAAACATTCTCAGAAACTGCTTTGTGATGTTTGTGTTCCACTTCAGGAATTGAACTTTCCTCTTGACAGAGCAGCTCTGAAACCCTCTTATTCTAGAATCTGCAAGTGGACATTTGGAGGGCTTTGAGGCCTGTGGTGGAAAAGGAAAATCTTCACATAAAAACTAGATGGAAGCATTCTCAGAAACTACTTTGTGATGATTGCATTCGACTCACAGAGTTGAACATTCCTATAGATAGAGCAGGTTGTAAACAATCTTTTTGTAGAATCTGCGATTGGAGATTTGGACTGCTTTGAGGCCTACTGTAGTAAAGGAAATAACTTCATCTAAAAACCAAACGGAAGCATTCACAGACAATTCTTAGTGATCATTGCATTGAACTAACAGAGCTGAACATTCCTTTAGATGGCGCAGTTTCCAAACACACTTTCTGTAGAATCTGCAAGTGGATATTTGGACCTCTCTGAGGATTTCGTTGGAAACGGGATAAACTTCCCAGAACTACACGGAAGCATTGTGAGAAACTTCTTTGTGATGTTTGCATTCAACTCACAGAGTTGAACCTTGCTTTCATAGTTCAGCTTTCAAACATTCTTTTTGTAGAATCTGCAAGTGGATATTTGGACCACATTGTGGCCTTCCTTCGAAACGGGTATATCTTCACATCAAACCTAGACAGAAGCATTCTCAGAATGTTTCCTGTGATGACTGCATTCAACTCACAGAGGTGAACAATCCTGCTGATGGAGCAGTTTTGAAACTCTCTTTCTTTGGATTCTGCAAGTGGATATGTGGACCTCTGTGAAGATTTCGTTGGAAACGGGTTCTTCTTCACAGAAAAACTAAACAGAAGCATTCTCAGAAACTGCTTTGTGATGTTTGTGTTCCACTTCAGGAATTGAACTTTCCTCTTGACAGAGCAGCTCTGAAACCCTCTTATTCTAGAATCTGCAAGTGGACATTTGGAGGGCTTTGAGGCCTGTGGTGGAAAAGGAAAATCTTCACATAAAAACTAGATGGAAGCATTCTCAGAAACTACTTTGTGATGATTGCATTCGACTCACAGAGTTCAACATTCCTATAGATAGAGCAGGTTGTAAACAATCTTTTTGTAGAATCTGCGATTGGAGATTTAGACTGCTTTGAGGCCTACTGTAGTAAATTAAATAACTTCATCTAAAAACCAAACGGAAGCATTCACAGACAATTCTTAGTGATCATTGCATTGAACTAACAGAGCTGAACATTCCTTTAGATGGAGCAGTTTCCAAACACACTTTCTGTAGAATCTGCAAGTGGATATTTGGACCTCTCTGAGGATTTCGTTGGAAACGGGATAAACTTCCCAGAACTACACGGAAGCATTCTGAGAAACTTCTTTGTGATGTTTGCATTCAACTCACAGAGTTGAACCTTGCTTTCATAGTTCAGCTTTCAAACACTCTTTTTGTAGAATCTGCAAGTGGATATTTGGACCACTTTGTGGCCTTCCTTCGAAACGGGTATATCTTCACATCAAACCTAGACAGAAGCATTCTCAGAATGTTTCCTGTGATGACTGCATTCAACTCACAGAGGTGAACAATCCTGCTGATGGAGCAGTTTTGAAACTCTCTTTCTTTGGATTCTGCAAGTGGATATGTGGACCTCTGTGAAGATTTCGTTGGAAACGGGTTCATCTTCACAGAAAAACTAAACAGAAGCATTCTCAGAAACTGCTTTGTGATGTTTGTGTTCCACTTCAAGAATTGAACTTTCCTCTTGACAGAGCAGCTCTGAAACCCTCTTTTTCCAGAATCTGCAAGTGGACATTTGGAGGGCTTTGAGGCCTGTGGTGGAAAAGGAAAATCTTCACATAAGAACTAGATGGAATCATTCTCAGAAACTACTTTGTGATGATTGCATTCGACTCAAAGAGTTGAACATTCCTATAGATAGAGCAGGTTGTAAACAATCTTTTTGTAGAATATGCGATTGGAGATTTGGACTGCTTTGAGGCCTACTGTAGTAAAGGAAATAACTTCATACTAAAAACCAAACGGAAGCATTCACAGGACAATTCTTAGTGATCATTGCATTGAACTAACAGAGCTGAACATTCCTTTAGATGGCGCAGTTTCCAAACACACTTTCTGTAGAATCTGCAAGTGGATATTTGGACTTCTCTGAGGATTTCGTTGGAAACGGGATAAACTTCCCAGAACTACACGGAAGCATTGTGAGAAACTTCTTTGTGATGTTTGCATTCAACTCACAGAGTTGAACCTTGCTTTCATAGTTCAGCTTTCAAACACTCTTTTTGTAGAATCTGCAAGTGGATATTTGGACCACTTTGTGGCCTTCCTTCGAAACGGGTATATCTTCACATCAAACCTAGACAGAAGCATTCTCAGAATGTTTCCTGTGATGACTGCATTCAACTCACAGAGGTGAACAATCCTGCTGATGGAGCAGTTTTGAAACTCTCTTTCTTTGGATTCTGCAAGTGGATATGTGGACCTCTGTGAAGATTTCGTTGGAAACGGGTTCATCTTCACAGAAAAACTAAACAGGAGCATTCTCAGAAACTGCTTTGTGATGTTTGTGTTCCACTTCAAGAATTGAACTTTCCTCTCGACAGAGCAGCTCTGAAACCCTCTTTTTCTAGAATCTGCAAGTGGACATTTGGAGGGCTTTGAGGCCTGTGGTGGAAAAGGAAACTCTTCACATAAAAACTAGATGGAAGCATTCTCAGAAACTACTTTGTGATGATTGCATTCGACTCACAGAGTTGAACATTCCTATAGATAGAGCAGGTTGTAAACAATCTTTTTGTAGAATCTGCGATTGGAGATTTGGACTGCTTTGAGGCCTACTGTAGTAAAGGAAATAACTTCATCTAAAAACCAAACGGAAGCATTCACAGACAATTCTTAGTGATCATTGGATTGAACTAACAGAGCTGAACATTCCTTTAGATGGAGCAGTTTCCAAACACACTTTCTGTAGAATCTGCAAGTGGATATTTGGACTTCTCTGAGGATTTCGTTGGAAACGGGATAAACTTCCCAGAACTACACGGAAGCATTGTGAGAAACTTCTCTGTGATGTTAGCATTCAACTCACAGAGTTGAACCTTGCTTTCATAGTTCAGCTTTCAAACACTCTTTTTGTGGAATCTGCAAGTGGATATTTGGACCACTTTGTGGCCTTCCTTCGAAACGGGTATATCTTCACATCAAACCTAGACAGAAGCATTCTCAGAATGTTTCCTGTGATGACTGCATTCAACTCACAGAGGTGAACAATCCTGCTGATGGAGCAGATTTGAAACTCTCTTTCTTTGGATTCTGCAAGTGGATATGTGGACCTCTGTGAAGATTTCGTTGGAAACGGGTTCATCTTCACAGAAAAACTAAACAGGAGCATTCTCAGAAACTGCTTTGTGATGTTTGTGTTCCACTTCAAGAATTGAACTTTCCTCTTGACAGAGCAGCTCTGAAACCCTCTTTTTCTAGAATCTGCAAGTGGACATTTGGAGGGCTTTGAGGCCTGTGGTGGAAAAGGAAAATCTTCACATAAAAACTAGATGGAAGCATTCTCAGAAACTACTTTGTGATGATTGCATTCGACTCACAGAGTTGAACATTCCTATAGATAGAGCAGGTTGTAAACAATGTTTTTGTAGAATCTGCGATTGGAGATTTGGACTGCTTTGAGGCCTACTGTAGTAAAGGAAATAACTTCATCTAAAAACCAAACGGAAGCATTCACAGACAATTCTTAGTGATCATTGGATTGAACTAACAGAGCTGAACATTCCTTTAGATGGAGCAGTTTCCAAACACACTTTCTGTAGAATCTGCAAGTGGATATTTGGACTTCTCTGAGGATTTCGTTGGAAACGGGATAAACTTCCCAGAACTACACGGAAGCATTGTGAGAAACTTCTTTGTGATGTTTGCATTCAACTCACAGAGTTGAACCTTGCTTTCATAGTTCAGCTTTCAAACACTCTTTTTGTAGAATCTGCAAGTGGATATTTGGACCACTTTGTGGCCTTCCTTCGAAACGGGTATATCTTCACATCAAACCTAGACAGAAGCATTCTCAGAATGTTTCCTGTGATGACTGCATTCAACTCACAGAGGTGAACAATCCTGCTGATGGAGCAGTTTTGAAACTCTCTTTCTTTGGATTCTGCAAGTGGATATGTGGACCTCTGTGAAGATTTCGTTGGAAACGGGTTCATCTTCACAGAAAAACTAAACAGAAGCATTCTCAGAAACTACTTTGTGATGTTTGTGTTCCACTTCAAGAATTGAACTTTCCTCTTGACAGAGCAGCTCTGAAACCCTCTTTTTCTAGAATCTGCAAGTGGACATTTGGAGGGCTTTGAGGCCTGTGGTGGAAAAGGAAAATCTTCACATAAAAACTAGATGGAAGCATTCTCAGAAACTACTTTGTGATGATTGCATTCGACTCACAGAGTTGAACATTCCTATAGATAGAGCAGGTTGTAAACAATCTTTTTGTAGAATCTGCGATTGGAGATTTGGACTGCATTGAGGCCTACTGTAGTAAAGGAAATAACTTCATCTAAAAACCAAACGGAAGCATTCACAGACAATTCTCAGTGATCATTGGATTGAACTAACAGAGCTGAACATTCCTTTAGATGGAGCAGTTTCCAAACACACTTTCTGTAGAATCTGCAAGTGGATACTTGGACTTTTCTGATTATTTCGTTGGAAACGGGATAAACTTCCCAGAACTACACGGAAGCATTCTGAGAAACTTCTTTGTGATGTTTGCATTCAACTCACAGAGTTGAACCTTGCTTTCATAGTTCAGCTTTCAAACACTCTTTTTGTAGAATCTGCAAGTGGATATTTGGACCACTTTGTGGCCTTCCTTCGAAACGGGTATATCTTCACATCAAACCTAGACAGAAGCATTCGCAGAATGTTTCCTGTGATGACTGCATTCAACTCACAGAGGTGAACAATCCTGCTGATGGAGCAGTTTTGAAACTCCCTTTCTTTGGATTCTGCAAGTGGATATGTGGACCTCTGTGAAGATTTCGTTGGAAACGGGTTCATCTTCACAGAAAAACTAAACAGGAGCATTCTCAGAAACTGCTTTGTGATGTTTGTGTTCCACTTCAGGAATTGAACTTTCCTCTTGACAGAGCAGCTCTGAAACCCTCTTTTTCTAGAATCTGCAAGTGGACATTTGGAGGGCTTTGAGGCCTGTGGTGGAAAAGGAAAATCTTCACATAAAAACTAGATGGAAGCATTCTCAGAAACTACTTTGTGATGATTGCATTCGACTCACAGAGTTGAACATTCCTATAGATAGAGCAGGTTGTAAACAATCTTTTTGTAGAATCTGCGATTGGAGATTTGGACTGCTTTGAGGCCTACTGTAGTAAAGGAAATAACTTCATCTAAAAATCAAACGGAAGCATTCACAGACAATTCTTAGTGATCATTGGATTGAACTAACAGAGCTGAACATTCCTTTAGATGGAGCAGTTTCCAAATCCACTTTCTGTAGAATCTGCAAGTGGATATTTGGACTTCTCTGAGGATTTCGTTGGAAACCGGATAAACTTCCCAGAACTACACGGAAGCATTGTGAGAAACTTCTTTGTGATGTTTGCATTCAACTCACAGAGTTGAACCTTGCTTTCATAGTTCAGCTTTCAAACACTCTTTTTGTAGAATCTGCAAGTGGATATTTGGACCACTTTGTGGCCTTCCTTCGAAACGGGTATATCTTCACATCAAACCTAGACAGAAGCATTCTCAGAATGTTTCCTGTGATGACTGCATTCAACTCACAGAGGTGAACAATGCTGCTGATGGAGCAGTTTTGAAACTCTCTTTCTTTGGATTCTGCAAGTGGATATGTGGACCTCTGTGAAGATTTCGTTGGAAACGGGTTCATCTTCACAGAAAAACTAAACAGAAGCATTCTCAGAAACTGCTTTGTGATGTTTGTGTTCCACTTCAGGAATTGAACTTTCCTCTTGACAGAGCAGCTCTGAAACCCTCTTATTCTAGAATCTGCAAGTGGACATTTGGAGGGCTTTGAGGCCTGTGGTGGAAAAGGAAAATCTTCACATAAAAACTAGATGGAAGCATTCTCAGAAACTACTTTGCGATGATTGCATTCGACTCACAGTGTTGAACATTCCTATAGATAGAGCAGGTTGTAAACAATCTTTTTGTAGAATCTGCGATTGGAGATTTGGACTGCTTTGAGGCCTACTGTAGTAAAGGAAATAACTTCATCTAAAAACCAAACGGAAGCATTCACAGACAATTCTTAGTGATCATTGGATTGAACTAACAGAGCTGAACATTCCTTTAGATGGAGCAGTTTCCAAACCCACTTTCTGTAGAATCTGCAAGTGGATATTTGGACTTCTCTGAGGATTTCGTTGGAAACGGGATAAACTTCCCAGAACTACACGGAAGCATTGTGAGAAACTTCTTTGTGATGTTTGCATTCAACTCACAGAGTTGAACCTTGCTTTCATAGTTCAGCTTTCAAACACTCTTTTTGTAGAATCTGCAAGTGGATATTTGGACCACTTTGTGGCCTTCCTTCGAAACGGGTATATCTTCACATCAAACCTAGACAGAAGCATTCTCAGAATGTTTCCTGTGATGACTGCATTCAACTCACAGAGGTGAACAATCCTGCTGATGGAGCAGTTTTGAAACTCTCTTTCTTTGGATTCTGCAAGTGGATATGTGGACCTCTGTGAAGATTTCGTTGGAAACGGGTTCATCTTCACAGAAAAAATAAACAGAAGCATTCTCAGAAACTGCTTTGTGATGTTTGTGTTCCACTTCAAGAATTGAACTTTCCTCTTGACAGAGCAGCTCTGAAACCCTCTTTTTCTAGAGTCTGCAAGTGGACATCTGGAGGGCTTTGAGGCCTCTGGTGGAAAAGGAAAATCTTCACATAAAAACTAGATGGAAGCATTCTCAGGAACTACTTTGGGATGATTGCATTCGACTCACAGAGTTGAACATTCCTATAGATAGAGCAGGTTGTAAACAATCTGTTTGTAGAATCTGCGATTGGAGATTTGGACTGCTTTGAGGCCTACTGTCGTAAAGGAAATAACTTCATCTAAAAACCAAACGGAAGCATTCACAGACAATTCTTAGTGATCATTGGATTGAACTAACAGAGCTGAACATTCCTTTAGATGGAGCAGTTTCCAAACACACTTTCTGTAGAATCTGCAAGTGGATATTTGGACCTCTCTGAGGATTTCGTTGGAAACAGGATAAACTTCCCAGAACTACACGGAAGCATTCTGAGAAACTTCTTTGTGATGTTTGCATTCAACTCACAGAGGTGAACCTTGCTTTCATAGTTCAGCTTTCAAACACTCTTTTTATAGAATCTGCAAGTGGATATTTGGACCACTTTGTGGCCTTCCTTCGAAACGGGTATATCTTCACATCAAACCTAGACAGAAGCATTCTCAGAATGTTTCCTGTGATGACTGCATTCAACTCACAGAGGTGAACAATCCTGTTGATGGAGCAGTTTTGAATCTCTCTTTCTTTGGATTCTGCAAGTGGATATGTGGATCTCTGTGAAGATTTCGTTGGAAACGGGTTCATTTTCACAGAAAAACTAAACAGAAGCATTCTCAGAAACTGCTTTGTGATGTTTGTGTTCCACTTCAAGAATTGAACTTTCCTCTTGACAGAGCAGCTCTGAAACCCTCTTTTTCTAGAATCTGCAAGTGGACATTTGGAGGGCTTTGAGGCCTGTGGTGGAAAAGGAAAATCTTCACATAAAAACTAGATGGAAGCATTCTCAGAAACTACTTTGTGATGATTGCATTCGACTCACAGAGTTGAACATTCCTATAGATAGAGCAGGTTGTAAACAATCTTTTTGTAGAATCTGCGATTGGAGATTTGGACTGCTTTGAGGCCTACTGTAGTAAAGGAAATAACTTCATCTAAAAACCAAACGGAAGCATTCACAGACAATTCTTAGTGATCATTGGATTGAACTAACAGAGCTGAAGATTCCTTTAGATGGAGCAGTTTCCAAACACACTTTCTGTAGAATCTGCAAGTGGATATTTGGACCTCTCTGAGGATTTCGTTGGAAACGGGATAAACTTCCCAGAACTACACGGAAGCATTCTGAGAAACTTCTTTGTGATGTTTGCATTCAACTCACAGAGTTGAACCTTGCTTTCATAGTTCAGCTTTCAAACACTCTTTTTGTAGAATCTGCAAGTGGATATTTGGACCACTTTGTGGCCTTCCTTCGAAACGGGTATATCTTCACATCAAACCTAGACAGAAGCATTCTCAGAATGTTTCCTGTGATGACTGCATTCAACTCACAGAGGTGAACAATCCTGTTGATGGAGCAGTTTTGAAACTCTCTTTCTTTGGATTCTGCAAGTTGATATGTGGACCTCTGTGAAGATTTCGTTGGAAACGGGTTCATCTTCACAGAAAAACTAAACAGAAGCATTCTCAGAAACTGCTTTGTGATGTTTGTGTTCCACTTCAAGAATTGAACTTTCCTCTTGACAGAGCAGCTCTGAAACCCTCTTTTTCTAGAATCTGCAAGTGGACATTTGGACGGCTTTGAGGCCTGTGGTGGAAAAGGAAAATCTTCACATAAAAACTAGATGGAAGCATTCTCAGAAACTACTTTGTGATGATTGCATTCGACTCACAGAGTTGAACATTCCTATAGATAGAGCAGGTTGTAAACAATCTTTTTGTAGAATCTGCGATTGGAGATTTGGACTGCTTTGAGGCCTACTGTAGTAAAGGAAATAACTTCATCTAAAAACCAAACGGAAGCATTCACAGACAATTCTTAGTGATCATTGCATTGAACTAACAGAGCTGAACATTCCTTTAGATGGCGCAGTTTCCAAACACACTTTCTGTAGAATCTGCAAGTGGATATTTGGACCTCTCTGAGGATTTCGTTGGAAACGGGATAAACTTCCCAGAACTACACGGAAGCATTCTGAGAAACTTCTTTGTGATGTTTGCATTCAACTCACAGAGTTGAACCTTGCTTTCATAGTTCAGCTTTCAAACACTCTTTTTGTAGAATCTGCAAGTGGATATTTGGACCACTTTGTGGCCTTCCTTCGAAACGGGTATATCTTCACATCAAACCTAGACAGAAGCATTCTCAGAATGTTTCCTGTGATGACTGCATTCAACTCACAGAGGTGAACAATCCTGTTGATGGAGTAGTTTTGAAACTCTCTTTCTTTGGATTCTGCAAGTGGATATGTGGACCTCCTGTGAAGATTTCGTTGGAAACGGGTTCATCTTCACAGAAAAACTAAACAGAAGCATTCTCAGAAACTGCTTTGTGATGTTTGTGTTCCACTTCAGGAATTGAACTTTCCTCTTGACAGAGCAGCTCTAAAACCCTCTTATTCTAGAATCTGCAAGTGGACATTTGGAGGGCTTTGAGGCCTGTGGTGGAAAAGGAAAATCTTCACATAAAAACTAGATGGAAGCATTCTCAGAAACTACTCTGTGATGATTGCATTCGACTCACAGAGTTGAACATTCCTATAGATAGAGCAGGTTGTAAACAATCTTTTTGTAGAATCTGCGATTGGAGATTTGGACTGCTTTGAGGCCTACTGTAGTAAAGGAAATAACTTCATCTAAAAACCAAACGGAAGCATTCACAGACAATTCTTAGTGATCATTGCATTGAACTAACAGAGCTGAACATTCCTTTAGATGGAGCAGTTTCCAAACCCACTTTCTGTAGAATCTGCAAGTGGATATTTGGACCTCTCTGAGGATTTCGTTGGAAACGGGTAAACTTCCCAGAACTACACGGAAGCATTCTGAGAAACTTCTTTGTGATGTTTGCATTCAACTCACAGAGTTGAACCTTGCTTTCATAGTTCAGCTTTCAAACACTCTTTTTGTAGAATCTGCAAGTGGATATTTGGACCACTTTGTGGCCTTCCTTCGAAACGGGTATATCCTCACATCAAACCTAGACAGAAGCATTCTCAGAATGTTTCCTGTGATGACTGCATTCAACTCACAGAGGTGAACAATCCTGCTGATGGAGCAGTTTTGAAACTCTCTTTCTTTGGATTCTGCAAGTGGATATGTGGACCTCTGTGAAGATTTCGTTGGAAACGGGTTCATCTTCACAGAAAAACTAAACAGAAGCATTCTCAGAAACTACTTTGTGATGTTTGTGTTCCACTTCAAGAATTGAACTTTCCTCTTGACAGAGCAGCTCTGAAACCCTCTTTTTCTAGAATCTGCAAGTGGACATTTGGAGGGCTTTGAGGCCTGTGGTGGAAAAGGAAAATCTTCACATAAAAACTAGATGGAAGCATTCTCACAAACTACTTTGTGATGATTGCATTCGACTCACAGAGTTGAACATTCCTATAGATAGAGCAGGTTGTAAACAATCTTTTTGTAGAATCTGCGATTGGAGATTTGGACTGCTTTGAGGCCTACTGTAGTAAAGGAAATAACTTCATCTAAAAACCAAACGGAAGCATTCACAGACAATTCTTAGTGATCATTGCATTGAACTAACAGAGCTGAACATTCCTTTAGATGGAGCAGTTTCCAAACACACTTTCTGTAGAATCTGCAAGTGGATATTTGGACTTCTCTGAGGATTTCGTTGGAAACGGGATAAACTTCCTCAGAACTACACGGAAGCATTGTGAGAAACTTCTTTGTGATGTTTTCATTCAACTCACAGAGTTGAAACCTTGCTTTCATAGTTCAGCTTTCAAACACTCTTTTTGTAGAATCTGCAAGTGGATATTTGGACCACTTTGTGGCCTTCCTTCGAAACGGGTATATCTTCACATCAAACCTAGACAGAAGCATTCTCAGAATGTTTCCTGTGATGACTGCATTCAACTCACAGAGGTGAACAATCCTGCTGATGGAGCAGTTTTGAAACTCTCTTTCTTTGGATTCTGCAAGTGGATATGTGGACCTCTGTGAAGATTTCGTTGGAAACGGGTTCATCTTCACAGAAAAACTAAACAGGAGCATTCTCAGAAACTGCTTTGTGATGTTTGTGTTCCACTTCAAGAATTGAACTTTCCTCTTGACAGAGCAGCTCTGAAACCCTCTTTTTCTAGAATCTGCAAGTGGACATTTGGAGGGCTTTGAGGCCTGTGGTGGAAAAGGAAAATCTTCCCATAAAAACTAGATGGAAGCATTCTCAGAAACTACTTTGTGATGATTGCATTCGACTCACAGAGTTGAACATTCCTATAGATAGAGCAGGTTGTAAACAATGTTTTTGTAGAATCTGCGATTGGAGATTTGGACTGCTTTGAGGCCTACTGTAGTAAAGGAAATAACTTCATCTAAAAACCAAACGGAAGCATTCACAGACAATTCTTAGTGATCATTGCATTGAACTAACAGAGCTGAACATTCCTTTAGATGGAGCATTTTCCAAACACACTTTCTGTAGAATCTGCAAGTGGATATTTGGACTTCTCTGAGGATTTCGTTGGAAACGGGATAAACTTCCCAGAACTACACGGAAGCATTGTGAGAAACTTCTTTGTGATGTTTGCATTCAACTCACAGAGTTGAACCTTGCTTTCATAGTTCAGCTTTCAAACACTCTTTTTGTAGAATCTGCAAGTGGATATTTGGACCACTTTGTGGCCTTCCTTCGAAACGGGTATATCTTCACATCAAACCTAGACAGAAGCATTCTCAGAATGTTTCCTGTGATGACTGCATTCAACTCACAGAGGTGAAGAATCCTGTTGATGGTGCAGTTTTGAAACTCTCTTTCTTTGGATTCTGCAAGTGGATATGTGGACCTCTGTGAAGATTTCGTTGGAAACGGGTTCATCTTCACAGAAAAACTAAACAGAAGCATTCTCAGAAACTGCTTTGTGATGTTTGTGTTCCACTTCAAGAATTGAACTTTCCTCTTGACAGAGCAGCTCTGAAACCCTCTTTTTCTAGAATCTGCAAGTGGACATTTGGAGGGCTTTGAGGCCTGTGGTGGAAAAGGAAAATCTTCACATAAAAACTAGATGGAAGCATTCTCAGAAACTACTTTGTGATGATTGCATTCGACTCACAGAGTTGAACATTCCTATAGATAGAGCAGGTTGTAAACAATCTTTTGTAGAATCTGCGATTGGAGATTTGGACTGCTTTGAGGCCTACTGTAGTAAAGGAAATAACTTCATCTAAAAACCCAACGGAAGCATTCACAGACAATGCTTAGTGATCATTGGATTGAACTAACAGAGCTGAACATTCCTTTAGATGGAGCAGTTTCCAAACCCAGTTTCTGTAGAATCTGCAAGTGGATATTTGGACCTCTCTGAGGATTTCGTTGGAAACGGGATATAGTTCCCAGAACTACACGGAAGTATTCTGAGAAACTTCTTTGTGATGTTTGCATTCAACTCACAGAGTTGAACCTTGCTTTCATAGTTCAGCTTTCAAACACTCTTTTTGTAGAATCTGCAAGTGGATATTTGGACCACTTTGTGGCCTTCCTTCGAAACGGGTATATCTTCACATCAAACATTGACAGAAGCATTCTCAGAATGTTTCCTGTGATGACTGCATTCAACTCACAGAGGTGAACAATCCTGCTGATGGAGCAGTTTTGAAACTCTCTTTCTTTGGATTCTGCAAGTGGATATGTGGACCTCTGTGATGATTTCTTTGGAAACGGGTTCATCTTCACAGAAAAACTAAACAGGAACATTCTCAGAAACTGCTTTGTGATGTTTGTGTTCCACTTCAAGAATTGAACTTTCCTCTTGACAGAGCAGCTCTGAAACCCTCTTTTTCTAGAATCTGCAAGTGGACATTTGGAGGGCTTTGAGGCCTGTGGTGGAAAAGGAAAATCTTCACATAAAAACTAGATGGAAGCATTCTCAGAAACTACTTTGTGATGATTGCATTCGACTCACAGAGTTGAACATTCCTATAGATAGAGCAGGTTGTAAACAATGTTTTTGTAGAATCTGCGATTGGAGATTTGGACTGCTTTGAGGCCTACTGTAGTAAAGGAAATAACTTCATCTAAAAACCAAACGGAAGCATTCACAGACAATTCTTAGTGATCATTGGATTGAACTAACAGAGCTGAACATTCCTTTAGATGGAGCAGTTGCCAAACCCACTTTCTGTAGAATCTGCAAGTGGATATTTGGACTTCTCTGAGGATTTCGTTGGAAACGGGATAAACTTCCCAGAACTACACGGAAGCATTGTGAGAAACTTCTTTGTGATGTTTGCATTCAACTCACAGAGTTGAACCTTGCTTTCATAGTTCAGCTTTCAAACACTCTTTTTGTAGAATCTGCAAGTGGATATTTGGACCACTTTGTGGCCTTCCTTTGAAAAGGGTATATCTTCACATCAAACCTAGACAGAAGCATTCTCAGAATGTTTCCTGTGATGACTGCATTCAACTCACAGAGGTGAACAATCCTGCTGATGGAGCAGTTTTGAAACTCCCTTTCTTTGGATTCTGCAAGTGGATATGTGGACCTCTGTGAAGATTTCCTTGGAAACGGGTTCATCTTCACAGAAAAAATAAAACAGGAGCATTCTCAGCAAACTACTTTGTGATGTTTGTGTTCCACTTCAACAATTGAACTTTCCTCTTGACAGAGCAGCTCTGAAACCCTCTTTTTCTAGAATCTGCAAGTGGACATTTGGAGGGCTTTGAGGCCTGTGGTGGAAAAGGAAAATCTTCACATAAAAACTAGATGGAAGCATTCTCAGAAACTACTTTGTGATGATTGCATTCGACTCACAGAGTTGAACATTCCTATAGATAGAGCAGGTTGTAAACAATCTTTTTGTAGAATCTGCGATTGGAGATTTGGACTGCTTTGAGGCCTACTGTAGTAAAGGAAATAACTTCATCTAAAAACCAAACGGAAGCATTCACAGACAATTCTTAGTGATCATTGCATTGAACTAACAGAGCTGAACATTCCTTTAGATGGCGCAGTTTCCAAACCCACTTTCTGTAGAATCTGCAAGTGGATATTTGGACGTCTCTGAGGATTTCGTTGGAAACGGGATAAACTTCCCAGAACTACACGGAAGCATGCTGAGAAACTTCTTTGTGATGTTTGCATTCAACTCACACAGTTGAACCTTGCTTTCATAGTTCAGCTTTCAAACACTCTTTTTGTAGAATCTGCAAGTGGATATTTGGACCTCTTTGTGGCCTTCCTTCGAAACAGGTATATCTTCACATCAAACCTAGACAGAAGCATTCTCAGAATGTTTCCTGTGATGACTACATTCAACTCACAGAGGTGAACAATACTGTTGATGGAGCACTTTTGAAACTCTCTTTCTTTGGATTCTGCAAGTTGATATGTGGACCTCTGTGAAGATTTCGTTGGAAACGGGTTCATCTTCACAGAAAAACTAAACAGAAGCATTCTCAGAAACTACTTTGTGATGTTTGTGTTCCACTTCAAGAATTGAACTTTCCTCTTGACAGAGCAGCTCTGAAACCCTCTTTTTCTAGAATCTGCAAGTGGACATTTGGAGGGCTTTGAGGCCTGTGGTGGAAAAGGAAAATCTTCACATAAAAACTAGATGGAAGCATTCTCAGAAACTACTTTGTGATGATTGCATTCGACTCACAGAGTTGAATATTCCTATAGATAGAGCAGGTTGTAAACAATCTTTTTGTAGAATCTGCGATTGGAGATTTGGACTGCTTTGAGGCCTACTGTAGTAAAGGAAATAACTTCATCTAAAAACCAAACGGAAGTATTCACAGACAATTCTTAGTGATCATTGGATTGAACTAACAGAGTTGAACATTCCTTTAGATGGAGCAGTTTCCAAACCCACTTTCTGTAGAATCTGCAAGTGGATATTTGGACTTCTCTGAGGATTTCGTTGGAAACGGGATAAACTTCCCAGAACTACAGGGAAGCATTCTGAGAAACTTCTTTGTGATGTTTGCATTCAACTCACAGAGTTGAACCTTGCTTTCATAGTTCAGCTTTCAAACACTCTTTTTGTAGAATCTGCAAGTGGATATTTGGACCACTTTGTGGCCTTCCTTCGAAACGGGTATATCTTCACATCAAACCTAGACAGAAGAATTCTCAGAATGTTTCCTGTGATGACTGCATTCAACTCACAGAGGTGAACAATCCTGTTGATGGAGCAGTTTTGAAACTCTCTTTCTTTGGATTCTGCAAGTGGATATGTGGACCTCTGTGAAGATTTCGTTGGAAACGGGTTCATCTTCACAGAAAAACTAAACAGAAGCATTCTCAGAAACTACTTTGTGATGTTTGTGTTCCACTTCAAGAATTGAACTTTCCTCTTGACAGAGCAGCTCTGAAACCCTCTTTTTCTAGAATCTGCAAGTGGACATTTGGAGGGCTTTGAGGCCTGTGGTGGAAAAGGAAAATCTTCACATAAAAACTAGATGGAAGCATTCTCAGAAACTACTTTGTGATGATTGCATTCGACTCACAGAGTTGAACATTCCTATAGATAGAGCAGGTTGTAAACAATCTTTTTGTAGAATCTGCGATTGGAGATTTGGACTGCTTTGAGGCCTACTGTAGTAAAGGAAATAACTTCATCTAAAAACCAAACGGAAGCATTCACAGACAATTCTTAGTGATCATTGGATTGAACTAACAGAGCTGAACATTCCTTTAGATGGAGCATTTTCCAAACGCACTTTCTGTAGAATCTGCAAGTGGATATTTGGACTTCTCTGAGGATTTCGTTGGAAACGGGATAAACTTCCCAGAACTACACGGAAGCATTCTGAGAAACTTCTTTGTGATGTTTGCATTCAACTCACAGAGTTGAACCTTGCTTTCATAGTTCAGCTTTCAAACACTCTTTTTGTAGAATCTGCAAGTGGATATTTGGACCACTTTGTGGCCTTCCTTCGAAACGGGTATATCTTCACATCAAACCTAGACAGAAGCATTCTCAGAATGTTTCCTGTGATGACTGCATTCAACTCACAGAGGTGAACAATCCTGTTGATGGAGCAGTTTTGAAACTCTCTTTCTTTGGATTCTGCAAGTTGATATGTGGACCTCTGTGAAGATTTCGTTGGAAACGGGTTCATCTTCACAGAAAAACTAAACAGAAGCATTCTCAGAAACTACTTTGTGATGTTTGTGTTCCACTTCAAGAATTGAACTTTCCTCTTGACAGAGCAGCTCTGAAACCCTCTTTTTCTAGAATCTGCAAGTGGACATTTGGAGGGCTTTGAGGCCTGTGGTGGAAAAGGAAAATCTTCACATAAAAACTAGATGGAAGCATTCTCAGAAACTACTTTGTGATGATTGCATTCGACTCACAGAGTTGAACATTCCTATAGATAGAGCAGGTTGTAAACAATGTTTTTGTAGAATCTGCGATTGGAGATTTGGACTGCTTTGAGGCCTACTGTAGTAAAGGAAATAACTTCATCTAAAAACCAAACGGAAGCATTCACAGACAATTCTTAGTGATCATTGGATTGAACTAACAGAGCTGAACATTCCTTTAGATGGAGCAGTTTCCAAACCCACTTTCTGTAGAATCTGCAAGTGGATATTTGGACTTCTCTGAGGATTTCGTTGGAAACGGGATAAACTTCCCAGAACTACACGGAAGCATTCTGAGAAACTTCTTTGTGATGTTTGCATTGAACTCACAGAGTTGAACCTTGCTTTCATAGTTCAGCTTTCAAACACTCTTTTTGTAGAATCTGCAAGTAGATATTTGGACCACTTTGTGGCCTTCCTTCGAAACGGGTATATCTTCACATCAAACCTAGACAGAAGCATTCTCAGAATGTTTCCTGTGATGACTGCATTCAACTCACAGAGGTGAACAATCCTGTTGATGGAGCAGTTTTGAAACTCTCTTTCTTTGGATTCTGCAAGTGGATATGTGGACCTACTGTGAAGATTTCGTTGGAAACGGGTTCATCTTCACAGAAAAACTAAACAGGAGCATTCTCAGAAACTACTTTGTGATGTTTGTGTTCCACTTCAAGAATTGAACTTTCCTCTTGACAGAGCAGCTCTGAAACCCTCTTTTTCTAGAATCTGCAAGTGGACATTTGGAGGGCTTTGAGGCCTGTGGTGGAAAAGGAAAATCTTCACATAAAAACTAGATGGAAGCATTCTCAGAAACTACTTTGTGATGATTGCATTCGACTCACAGAGTTGAACATTCCTATAGATAGAGCAGGTTGTAAACAATGTTTTTGTAGAATCTGCGATTGGAGATTTGGATTGCTTTGAGGCCTACTGTAGTAAAGGAAATAACTTCATCTAAAAACCAAACGGAAGCATTCACAGACAATTCTTAGTGATCATTGGATTGAACTAACAGAGCTGAACATTCCTTTAGATGGAGCAGTTGCCAAACACACTTTCTGTAGAATCTGCTAGTGGATATTTGGACTTCTCTGAGGATTTCGTTGGAAACGGGATAAACTTCCCAGAACTACACGGAAGCATTTTGAGAAACTTCTTTGTGATGTTTGCATTCAACTCACAGAGTTGAACCTTGCTTTCATAGTTCAGCTTTCAAACACTCTTTTTGTAGAATCTGCAAGTGGATATTTGGACCACTTTGTGGCCTTCCTTTGAAAAGGGTATATCTTCACATCAAACCTAGACAGAAGCATTCTCAGAATGTTTCCTGTGATGACTGCATTCAACTCACAGAGGTGAACAATCCTGCTGATGGAGCAGTTTTGAAACTCTCTTTCTTTGGATTCTGCAAGTGGATATGTGGACCTCTGTGAAGATTTCGTTGGAAACGGGTTCATCTTCACAGAAAAACTAAACAGAAGCATTCTCAGAAACTGCTTTGTGATGTTTGTGTTCCACTTCAGGAATTGAACTTTCCTCTTCAAAGAGCAGCTCTGAAACCCTCTTTTTCTAGAATCTGCAAGTGGACATTTGGAGGGCTTTGAGGCCTGTGGTGGAAAAGGAAAATCTTCACATAAAAACTAGATGGAAGCATTCTCAGAAACTACTTTGTGATGATTGCATTCGACTCACAGAGTTGAACACTCCTATAGATAGAGCAGGTTGTAAACAATCTTTTTGTAGAATCTGCGATTGGAGATTTGGACTGCTTTGAGGCCTACTGTAGTAAAGGAAATAACTTCATCTAAAAACCAAACGGAAGCATTCACAGACAATTCTTAGTGATCATTGGATTGAACTAACAGAGCTGAACATTCCTTTAGATGGAGCATTTTCCAAACACACTTTCTGTAGAATCTGCAAGTGGATATTTGGACTTCTATGAGGATTTCGTTGGAAACGGGATAAAATTCCCAGAACTACACGGAAGCATTGTGAGAAACTTCTTTGTGATGTTTGCATTCAACTCACAGAGTTGAACCTTGCTTTCATAGTTCAGCTTTCAAACACTCTTTTTGTAGAATCTGCAAGTGGATATTTGGACCACTTTGTGGCCTTCCTTTGAAAAGGGTATATCTTCACATCAAACCTAGACAGAAGCATTCTCAGAATGTTTCCTGTGATGACTGCATTCAACTCACAGAGGTGAACAATCCTGCTGATGGAGCAGTTTTGAAACTCTCTTTCTTTGGATTCTGCAAGTGGATATGTGGACCTCTGTGAAGATTTCGTTGGAAACGGGTTCATCTTCACAGAAAAACTAAACAGAAGCATTCTCAGAAACTGCTTTGTGATGTTTGTGTTCCACTTCAAGAATTGAACTTTCCTCTTGACAGAGCAGCTCTGAAACCCTCTTTTTCTAGAATCTGCAAGTGGACATTTGGAGGGCTTTGAGGCCTGTGGTGGAAAAGGAAAATCTTCACATAAAAACTAGATGGAAGCATTCTCAGAAACTACTTTGTGATGATTGCATTCGACTCACAGAGTTGAACATTCCTATAGATAGAGCAGGTTGTAAACAATCTTTTTGTAGAATCTGCGATTGGAGATTTGGACTGCTTTGAGGCCTACTGTAGTAAAGGAAATAACTTCATCTAAAAACCAAACGGAAGCATTCACAGACAATTCTTAGTGATCATTGCATTGAACTAACAGAGCTGAACATTCCTTTAGATGGAGCAGTTTCCAAACACACTTTCTGTAGAATCTGCAAGTGGATATTTGGACTTCTCTGAGGATTTCGTTGGAAACGGGATAAACTTCCCAGAACTACACGGAAGCATTGTGAGAAACTTCTTTGTGATGTTTGCATTCAACTCACAGAGTTGAACCTTGCTTTCATAGTTCAGCTTTCAAACACTCTTTTTGTAGAATCTGCAAGTGGATATTTGGACCACTTTGTGGCCTTCCTTCGAAACGGGTATATCTTCACATCAAACCTAGACAGAAGCATTCTCAGAATGTTTCCTGTGATGACTGCATTCAACTCACAGAGGTGAACAATCCTGCTGATGGAGCAGTTTTGAAACTCTCTTTCTTTGGATTCTGCAAGTGGATATGTCGACCTCTGTGAAGATTTCGTTGGAAACGGGTTCATCTTCACAGAAAAACTAAACAGAAGCATTCTCAGAAACTACTTTGTGATGTTTGTGTTCCACTTCAAGAATTGAACTTTCCTCTTGACAGAGCAGCTCTGAAACCCTCTTTTTCTAGAATCTGCAAGTGGACATTTGGAGGGCTTTGAGGCCTGTGGTGGAAAAGGAAAATCTTCACATAAAAACTAGATGGAAGCATTCTCAGAAACTACTTTGTGATGATTGCATTCGACTCACAGAGTTGAACATTCCTATAGATAGAGCAGGTTGTAAACAATCTTTTTGTAGAATCTGCGATTGGAGATTTGGACTGCTTTGAGGCCTACTGTAGTAAAGGAAATAACTTCATCTAAAAACCAAACGGAAGCATTCACAGACAATTCTTAGTGATCATTGGATTGAACTAACAGAGCTGAACATTCCTTTAGATGGAGCAGTTTCCAAACACACTTTCTGTAGAATCTGCAAGTGGATATTTGGACCTCTCTGAGGATTTCGTTGGAAACGGGATAAACTTCCCAGAACTACACGGAAGCATTCTGAGAAACTTCTTTGTGATGTTTGCATTCAACTCACAGAGTTGAACCTTGCTTTCATAGTTCAGCTTTCAAACACTCTTTTTGTAGAATCTGCAAGTGGATATTTGGACCACTTTGTGGCCTTCCTTCGAAACGGGTATATCTTCACATCAAACCTAGACAGAAGCATTCTCAGAATGTTTCCTGTGATGACTGCATTCAACTCACAGAGGTGAACAATCCTGCTGATGGAGCAGTTTTGAAACTCTCTTTCTTTGGATTCTGCAAGTGGATATGTGGACCTCTGTGAAGATTTCGTTGGAAACGGGTTCATCTTCACAGAAAAACTAAACAGGAGCATTCTCAGAAACTGCTTTGTGATGTTTGTGTTCCACTTAAAGAATTGAACTTTCCTCTTGACAGAGCAGCTCTGAAACCCTCTTTTTCTAGAATCTGCAAGTGGACATTTGGAGGGCTTTGAGGCCTGTGGTGGAAAAGGAAAATCTTCACATAAAAACTTTATGGAAGCATTCTCAGAAACTTCTTTGTGATGATTGCATTCGACTCACAGAGTTGAACATTCCTATAGATAGAGCAGGTTGTAAACAATCTTTTTGTAGAATCTGCGATTGGAGATTTGGACTGCTTTGAGGCCTTCTGTAGTAAAGGAAATTACTTCATCTAAAAACCAAACGGAAGCATTCACAGACAATTCTTAGTGATCATTGGATTGAACTAACAGAGCTGAACATTCCTTTAGATGGAGCAGTTTCCAAACCCACTTTCTGTAGAATCTGCAAGTGGATATTTGGACTTCTCTGAGGATTTCGTTGGAAACGGGATAAACTTCCCAGAACTACACGGAAGCATTGTGAGAAACTTCTTTGTGATGTTTGCATTCAACTCACAGAGTTGAACCTTGCTTTCATAGTTCAGCTTTCAAACACTCTTTTTGTAGAATCTCCAAGTGGATATTTGGACCACTTTGTGGCCTTCCTTCGAAACGGGTATATCTTCACATCAAACCTAGACAGAAGCATTCTCAGAATGTTTCCTGTGATGACTGCATTCAACTCACAGAGGTGAACAATCCTGTTGATGGAGCAGTTTTGAAACTCTCTTTCTTTGGATTCTGCAAGTGGATATGTGGACCTCTGTGAAGATTTCGTTGGAAACGGGTTCATCTTCACAGAAAAACTAAACAGAAGCATTCTCAGAAACTGCTTTGTGATGTTTGTGTTCCACTTCAAGAATTGAACTTTCCTCTTGACAGAGCAGCTCTGAAACCCTCTTTTTCTAGAATCTGCAAGTGGACATTTGGAGGGCTTTGAGGCCTGTGGTGGAAAAGGAAAATCTTCACATAAAAACTAGATGGAAGCATTCTCAGAAACTACTTTGTGATGATTGCATTCGACTCACAGAGTTGAACATTCCTATAGATAGAGCAGGTTGTAAACAATCTTTTTGTAGAATCTGCGATTGGAGATTTGGACTGCTTTGAGGCCTACTGTAGTAAAGGAAATAACTTCATCTAAAAACCAAACGGAAGCATTCACAGACAATTCTTAGTGATCATTGCATTGAATTAACAGAGCTGAACATTCCTTTAGATGGAGCAGTTTCCAAACACACTTTCTGTAGAATCTGCAAGTGGATATTTGGACTTCTCTGAGGATTTCGTTGGAAACGGGATAAACTTCCCAGAACTACAGGGAAGCATTCTGAGAAACTTCTTTGTGATGTTTGCATTCAACTCACAGAGTTGAACCTTGCTTTCATAGTTCAGCTTTCAAACACTCTTTTTGTAGAATCTGCAAGTGGATATTTGGACCACTTTGTGGCCTTCGTTCGAAACGGGTATATCTTCATATCAAACCTAGACAGAAGCATTCTCAGAATGTTTCCTGTGATGACTGCATTCACCTCACAGAGGTGAACAATCCTGTTGATGGAGCAGTTTTGAAACTCTCTTTCTTTGGATTCTGCAAGTGGATATGTGGACCTCTGTGAAGATTTCGTTGGAAACGGGTTCATCTTCACAGAAAAACTAAACAGAAGCATTCTCAGAAACTGCTTTGTGATGTTTGTGTTCCACTTCAGGAATTGAACTTTCCTCTTGACAGAGCAGCTCTGAAACCCTCTTTTTCTAGAATCTGCAAGTGGACATTTGGAGGGCTTTGAGGCCTGTGGTGGAAAAGGAAATTCTTCACATAAAAACTAGATGGAAGCATTCTCAGAAACTACTTTGTGATGATTGCATTCGACTCACAGAGTTGAAAATTCCTATAGATAGAGTAGGTTGTAAACAATCTTTTTGTAGAATCTGTGATTGGAGATTTGGACTGCTTTGAGGTCTACTGTAGTAAAGGAAATAACTTCATCTAAAAAACAAACGGAAGCATTCACAGACAATTCTTAGTGATCATTGCATTGAACTAACAGAGCTGAACATTCCTTTAGATGGCGCAGTTTCCAAACACACTTTCTGTAGAATCTGCAAGTGGATATTTGGACCTCTCTGAGGATTTCGTTGGAAACGGGATAAACTTCCCAGAACTACACGGAAGCATTGTGAGAAACTTCTTTGTGATGTTTGCATTCAACTCACAGAGTTGAACCTTGCTTTCATAGTTCAGCTTTCAAACACTCCTTTTGTAGAATCTGCAAGTGGATATTTGGACCACTTTGTGGCCTTCCTTGGAAACGGGTATATCTTCACATCAAACCTAGACAGAAGCATTCTCAGAATGTTTCCTGTGATGACTGCATTCAACTCACAGAGGTGAACAATCCTGCTGATGGAGCAGTTTTGAAACTCTCTTTCTTTGGATTCTGCAAGTGGCTATGTGGACCTCTGTGAAGATTTCGTTGGAAACGGGTTCATCTTCACAGAAAAACTAAACAGAAGCATTCTCAGAAACTGCTTTGTGATGTTTGTGTTCCACTTCAGGAATTGAACTTTCCTCTTGACAGAGCAGCTCTGAAACCCTCTTATTCTAGAATCTGCAAGTTGACATTTGGAGGGCTTTGAGGCCTGTGGTGGAAAAGGAAAATCTTCACATAAAAACTAGATGGAAGCATTCTCAGAAACTACTTTGTGATGATTGCATTCGACTCACAGAGTTGAACATTCCTATAGATAGAGCAGGTTGTAAACAATCTTTTTGTAGAATCTGCGATTGGAGATTTGGACTGCTTTGAGGCCTACTGTAGTAAAGGAAATAACTTCATCTAAAAACCAAACGGAAGCATTCACAGACAATGCTTAGTGATCATTGGATTGAACTAACAGAGCTGAACATTCCTTTAGATGGAGCAGTTTCCAAACACACTTTCTGTAGAATCTGCAAGTGGATATTTGGACCTCTCTGAGGATTTCGTTGGAAACGGGATAAACTTCCCAGAACTACACGGAAGCATTCTGAGAAACTTCTTTGTGATGTTTGCATTCAACTCACAGAGTTGAACCTTGCTTTCATAGTTCAGCTTTCAAACACTCTTTTTGTAGAATCTGCAAGTGGATATTTGGACCACTTTGTGGCCTTCCTTCGAAACGGGTATATCTTCACATCAAACCTAGACAGAAGCATTCTCAGAATGTTTCCTGTGATGACTGCATTCAACTCACAGAGGTGAACAATCCTGCTGATGGAGCAGTTTTGAAACTCTCTTTCTTTGGATTCTGCAAGTGGATATGTGGACCTCTGTGAAGATTTCGTTGGAAACGGGTTCATCTTCACAGAAAAACTAAACAGAAGCATTCTCAGAAACTGCTTTGTGATGTTTGTGTTCCACTTCAAGAATTGAACTTTCCTCTTGACAGAGCAGCTCTGAAACCCTCTTATTCTAGAATCTGCAAGTGGACATTTGGAGGGCTTTGAGGCCTGTGGTGGAAAAGGAAAATCTTCACATAAAAACTAGATGGAAGCATTCTCAGAAACTACTTTGTGATGATTGCATTCGACTCACAGAGTTGAACATTCCTATATATAGAGCAGGTTGTAAACAATCTTTTTGTAGAATCTGCGATTGGAGATTTGGACTGCTTTGAGGCCTACTGTAGTAAAGGAAATAACTTCATCTAAAAACCAAACGGAAGCATTCACAGACAATTCTTAGTGATCATTGGATTGAACTAACAGAGCTGAACATTCCTTTAGATGGAGCAGTTTCCAAACCCACTTTCTGTAGAATCTGCAAGTGGATATTTGGACTTCTCTGAGGATTTCGTTGGAAACGGGATAAACTTCCCAGAACTACACGGAAGCATTGTGAGAAACTTCTTTGTGATGTTTGCATTCAACTCATAGAGTTGAACCTTGTTTTCATAGTTCAGCTTTCAAACACTCTTTTTGTAGAATCTGCAAGTGGATATTTGGACCACTTTGTGGCCTTCCTTCGAAACGGGTATATCTTCACATCAAACCTAGACAGAAGCATTCTCAGAATGTTTCCTGTGATGACTGCATTCAACTCACAGAGGTGAACAATCCTGTTGATGGAGCAGTTTTGAAACTCTCTTTCTTTGGATTCTGCAAGTGGATATGTGGACCTCTGTGAAGATTTCGTTGGAAACGGGTTCATCTTCACAGAAAAACTAAACAGGAGCATTCTCAGAAACTGCTTTGTGATGTTTGTGTTCCACTTCAAGAATTGAACTTTCCTCTTGACAGAGCAGCTCTGAAACCCTCTTTTTCTAGAATCTGCAAGTGGACATTTGGAGGGCTTTGAGGCCTGTGGTGGAAAAGGAAAATCTTCCCATAAAAACTAGATGGAAGCATTCTCAGAAACTACTTTGTGATGATTGCATTCGACTCACAGAGTTGAACATTCCTATAGATAGAGCAGGTTGTAAACAATCTTTTTGTAGAATCTGCGATTGGAGATTTGGACTGCTTTGAGGCCTACTGTAGTAAAGGAAATAACTTCATCTAAAAACCAAACGGAAGCATTCACAGACAATTCTTAGTGATCATTGGATTGAACTAACAGAGCTGAACATTCCTTTAGATGGAGCAGTTTCCAAACCCACTTTCTGTAGAATCTGCAAGTGGATATTTGGACTTCTCTGAGGATTTCGTTGGAAACGGGATATGCTTCCCAGAACTACAGGGAAGCATTGTGAGAAACTTCTTTGTGATGTTTGCATTCAACTCACAGAGTTGAACCTTGCTTTCATAGTTCAGCTTTCAAACACTCTTTTTGTAGAATCTGCAAGTGGATATTTGGACCACTTTGTGGCCTTCCTTCGAAACGGGTATATCTTCACATCAAACCTAGACAGAAGCATTCTCAGAATGTTTCCTGTGATGACTGCATTCAACTCACAGAGGTGAACAATCCTGCTGATGGAGCAGTGTTGAAACTCTCTTTCTTTGGATTCTGCAAGTGGATATGTGGACCTCTGTGAAGATTTCGTTGGAAACCGGTTCATCTTCACAGAAAAACTAAACAGGAGCATTCTCAGAAACTGCTTTGTGATGCTTGTGTTCCACTTCAAGAATTGTACTTTCCTCTTGACAGAGCAGCTCTGAAACCCTCTTTTTCTAGAATCTGCAAGTGGACATTTGGAGGGCTTTGAGGCCTGTAGTGGAAAAGGAAAATCTTCACATAAAAACTAGATGGAAGCATTCTCAGAAACTACTTTGTGATGATTGCATTCGACTCACAGAGTTGAACATTCCTATAGGTAGAGCAGGTTGTAAACAATCTTTTTGTAGAATCTGCGATTGGAGATTTGGACTACTTTGAGGCCTACTGTAGTAAAGGAAATAACTTCATCTAAAAACCAAACGGAAGCATTCACAGACAATTCTTAGTGATCATTGGATTGAACTAACAGAGCTGAACATTCCTTTAGATGGAGCAGTTTCCAAACACACTTTCTGTAGAATCTGCAAGTGGATATTTGGACTTCTCTGAGGATTTCGTTGGAAACGGGATAAACTTCCCAGAACTACACGGAAGCATTGTGAGAAACTTCTTTGTGATGTTTGCATTCAACTCACAGAGTTGAACCTTGCTTTCATAGATCAGCTTTCAAACACTCTTTTTGTAGAATCTGCAAGTGGATATTTGGACCACTTTGTGACCTTCCTTCGAAACGGGTATATCTTCACATCAAACCTAGACAGAAGCATTCTCAGAATGTTTCCTGTGATGACTGCATTCAACTCACAGAGGTGAACAATCCTGCTGATGGAGCAGTTTTGAAACTCTCTTTCTTTGGATTCTGCAAGTGGATATGTGGACCTCTGTGAAGATTTCGTTGGAAACGGGTTCATCTTCACAGAAAAACTAAACAGGAGCATTCTCAGAAACTGCTTTGTGATGTTTGTGTTCCACTTCAAGAATTGAACTTTCCTCTTGACAGAGCAGCTCTGAAACCCTCTTTTTCTAGAATCTGCAAGTGGACATTTGGAGGGCTTTGAGGCCTGTGGTGCAAAAGGAAAATCTTCACATAAAAACTAGATGGAAGCATTCTCAGAAACTACTTTGTGATGATTGCATTCGACTCACAGAGTTGAACATTCCTATAGATAGAGCAGGTTGTAAACAATCTTTTTGTAGAATCTGCGATTGGAGATTTGGACTGCTTTGAGGCCTACTGTAGTAAAGGAAATAACTTCATCTAAAAACCAAACGGAAGCATTCACAGACAATTATTAGTGATCATTGCATTGAACTAACAGAGCTGAACATTCCTTTAGATGGAGCAGTTTCCAAACCCACTTTCTGTAGAATCTGCAAGTGGATATTTGGACTTCTCTGAGGATTTCGTTGGAAACGGGATAAACTTCCCAGAACTACACGGAAGCATTCTGAGAAACTTCTTTGTGATGTTTGCATTCAACTCACAGAGTTGAACCTTGCTTTCATAGTTCAGCTTTCAAACACTCTTTTTGTAGAATCTGCAAGTGGATATTTGGACCACTTTGTGGCCTTCCTTCGAAACGGGTATATCTTCACATCAAACCTAGACAGAAGCATTCTCAGAATGTTTCCTGTGATGACTGCATTCAACTCACAGAGGTGAACAATCCTGCTGATGGAGCAGTTTTGAAACTCTCTTTCTTTGGATTCTGCAAGTGGATATGTGGACCTCTGTGAAGATTTCGTTGGAAACGGGTTCATCTTCACAGAAAAACTAAACAGAAGCATTCTCAGAAACTGCTTTGTGATGTTTGTGTTCCACTTCAGGAATTGAACTTTCCTCTTGACAGAGCAGCTCTGAAACCCTCTTATTCTAGAATTTGCAAGTGGACATTTGGAGGGCTTTGAGGCCTGTGGTGGAAAAGGAAAATCTTCACATAAAAACTAGATGGAAGCATTCTCAGAAACTACTTTGTGATGATTGCATTCGACTCACAGAGTTGAACATTCCTATAGATAGAGCAGGTTGTAAACAATCTTTTTGTAGAATCTGCGATTGGAGATTTGGACTGCTTTGAGGCCTACTGTAGTAAAGGAAATAACTTCATCTAAAAACCAAACGGAAGAATTCACAGACAATTCTTAGTGATCATTGGATTGAACAAACAGAGCTGAACATTCCTTTAGATAGAGCAGTTTACAAACACACTTTCTGTAGAATCTGCAAGTGGATATTTGGACTTCTCTGAGGATTTCGTTGGAAACGGGATAAACTTCCCAGAACTACACGGAAGCATTCTGAGAAACTTCTTTGTGATGTTTGCATTCAACTCACAGAGTTGAACCTTGCTTTCATAGTTCAGCTTTCAAACACTCTTTTTGTAGAATCTGCAAGTGGATATTTGGACCACTTTGTGGCCTTCCTTCGAAATGGGTATATCTTCACATCAAACCTAGACAGAAGCATTCTCAGAATGTTTCCTGTGATGACTGCATTCAACTCACAGAGGTGAACAATCCTGTTGATGGAGCCGTTTTGAAACTCCCTTTCTTTTGATTCTGCAAGTGGATATGTGGACCTCTGTGAAGATTTCGTTGGAAACGGGTTCATCTTCACAGAAAAATTAACAGGAGCATTCTCAGAAACTGCTTTGTGATGTTTGTGTTCCACTTGAAGAATTGAACTTTCCTTTTGACAGAGCAGCTCTGAAATCCTCTTTTTCTAGAATCTGCAAGTGGACATTTGGAGGGCTTTGAGGCCTGTGGTGTAAAAGGAAAATCTTCCCATAAAAACTAGATGGAAGCATTCTCAGAAACTACTTTGTGATGATTGCATTCGACTCACAGAGTTGAACATTCCTATACATAGAGCAGGTTGTAAACAATCTTTTTGTAGAATCTGCGATTGGAGATTTGGACTGCTTTGAGGCCTACTGTAGTAAAGGAAATAACTTCATCTAAAAACCAAACGGAAGCATTCACAGACAATTCTTAGTGATCATTGGATTGAACTAACAGAGCTGAACATTCCTTTAGATGGAGCAGTTTCCAAACACACTTTCTGTAGAATCTGCAAGTGGATATTTGGACCTCTCTGAGGATTTCGTTGGAAACGGGATAAACTTCCCAGAACTACACGGAAGCATTCTGAGAAACTTCTTTGTGATGTTTGCATTCAACTCACAGAGTTGAACCTTGCTTTCATAGTTCAGCTTTCAAACACTCTTTTTGTAGAATCTGCAAGTGGATATTTGGACCACTTTGTGGCCTTCCTTCGAAACGGGTATATCTTCACATCAAACCTAGACAGAAGCATTCTCAGAATGTTTCCTGTGATGACTGCATTCAACTCACAGAGGTGAACAATCCTGCTGATGGAGCAGTTTTGAAACTCTCTTTCTTTGGATTCTGCAAGTGGATATGTGGACCTCTGTGAAGATTTCGTTGGAAACGGGTTCATCTTCACAGAAAAACTAAACAGAAGCATTCTCAGAAACTGCTTTGTGACGATTGTGTTCCACTTCAGGAATTGAACTTTCCTCTTGACAGAGCAGCTCTGAAACCCTCTTATTCTAGAATCTGCAAGTGGACATTTGGAGGGCTTTGAGGCCTGTGGTGGAAAAGGAAAATCTTCACATAAAAACTAGATGGAAGCATTCTCAGAAACTACTTTGTGATGATTGCATTCGACTCACAGAGTTGAACATTCCTATAGATAGAGCAGGTTGTAAACAATCTTTTTGTAGAATCTGCGATTGGAGATTTGGACTGCTTTGAGGCCTACTTGTAGTAAAGGCAATAACTTCATCTAAAAACCAAACGGAAGCATTCACAGACAATTCTTAGTGATCATTGGATTGAACTAACAGAGCTGAACATTCCTTTAGATGGCGCAGTTTCCAAACACACTTTCTGTAGAATCTGCAAGTGGATATTTGGACCTCTCTGAGGATTTCGTTGGAAACGGGATAAACTTCCCAGAACTACACGGAAGCATTCTGAGAAACTTCTTTGTGATGTTTGCATTCAACTCACAGAGTTGAACCTTGCTTTCATAGTTCAGCTTTCAAACACTCTTTTTGTAGAATCTGCAAGTGGATATTTGGACCACTTTCTGGCCTTCCTTCGAAACGGGTATATCTTCACATCAAACCTAGACAGAAGCATTCTCAGAATGTTTCCTGTGATGACTGCATTCAACTCACAGAGGTGAACAATCCTGCTGATGGAGCAGTTTTGAAACTCTCTTTCTTTGGATTCTGCAAGTGGATATGTGGACCTCTGTGAAGATTTCGTTGGAAACGGGTTCATCTTCACAGAAAAACTAAACAGAAGGATTCTCAGAAACTGCTTTGTGATGTTTGTGTTCCACTTCAGGAATTGAACTTTCCTCTTGACAGAGCAGCTCTGAAACCCTCTTATTTTAGAATCTGCAAGTGGACATTTGGAGGGCTTTGAGGCCTGTGGTGGAAAAGGAAAATCTTCACATAAAAACTAGATGGAAGCATTCTCAGAAACTACTTTGTGATGATTGCATTCGACTCACAGAGTTGAACATTCCTATAGATAGAGTAGGTTGTAAACAATCTTTTTGTAGAATCTGCGATTGGAGATTTGGACTGCTTTGAGGCCTACTGTAGTAAAGGAAATAACTTCATCTAAAAACCAAACGGAAGCATTCACAGAAAATTCTTAGTGATCATTGCATTGAACTAACAGAGCTGAACATTCCTTTAGATGGAGCAGTTTCCAAACACACTTTCTGTAGAATCTGCAAGTGGATATTTGGACTTCTCTGAGGATTTCGTTGGAAACGGGATAAACTTCTCAGAACTACACGGAAGCATTGTGAGAAACTTCTTTGTGATGTTTGCATTCAACTCACAGAGTTGAACCTTGCTTTCATAGTTCAGCTTTCAAACACTCTTTTTGTAGAATCTGCAAGTGGATATTTGGACCACTTTGTGGCCTTCCTTCGAAACGGGTATATCTTCACATCAAACCTAGACAGAAGCATTCTCAGAATGTTTCCTGTGATGACTGCATTCAACTCACAGAGGTGAACAATCCTGCTGTTGGAGCAGTTTTGAAACTCTCTTTCTTTGGATTCTGCAAGTGGATATGTGGAACTCTGTGAAGATTTCGTTGGAAACGGGTACATCTTCACAGAAAAACTAAACAGGAGCATTCTCAGAAACTGCTTTGTGATGTTTGTGTTCCACTTAAAGAATTGAACTTTCCTCTTGACAGAGCAGCTCTGAAACCCTCTTTTTCTAGAATATGCAAGTGGACATTTGGAGGGCTTTGAGGCCTGTGGTGGAAAAGGAAAATCTTCACATAAAAACTAGATGGAAGCATTCTCAGAAACTACTTTGTGATGATTGCATTCGACTCACAGAGTTGAACATTCCTATAGATAGAGCAGGTTGTAAACAATCTTTTTGTAGAATCTGCGATTGGAGATTTGGACTGCTTTGAGGCCTACTGTAGTAAAGGAAATAACTTCATCTAAAAACCAAACGGAAGCATTCACAGACAATTCTTACTGATCATTGGATTGAACTAACAGAGCTGAACATTCCTTTAGATGGCGCAGTTTCCAAACCCACTTTCTCTAGAATCTGCAAGTGGATATTTGGACGTCTCTGAGGATTTCGTTGGAAACGGGATAAACTTCCCAGAACTACACGGAAGCATTGTGAGAAACTTCTTTGTGATGTTTGCATTCAACTCACAGAGTTGAACCTTGCTTTCATAGTTCAGCTTTCAAACACTCTTTTTGTAGAATCTGCAAGTGGATATTTGGACCACTTTGTGGCCTTCCTTTGAAAAGGGTATATCTTCACATCAAACCTAGACAGAAGCATTCTCAGAATGTTTCCTGTGATGACTGCATTCAACTCACAGAGGTGAACAATCCTGCTGATGGAGCAGTTTTGAAACTCTCTTTCTTTGGATTCTGCAAGTGGATATGTGGACCTCTGTGAGGATTTCGTTGGAAACGGGTTCATCTTCACAGAAAAACTAAACAGAAGCATTCTCAGAAACTGCTTTGTGATGTTTGTGTTCCACTTCAGGAATTCAACTTTCCTCTTGAAAGAGCAGCTCTGAAACCCTCTTATTCTAGAATCTGCAAGTGGACATTTGGAGGGCTTTGAGGCCTGTGGTGGAAAAGGAAAATCTTCACATAAAAACTAGATGGAAGCATTCTCAGAAACTACTTTGTGATGATTGCATTCGACTCACAGAGTTGAACATTCCTATAGATAGAGCAGGTTGTAAACAATCTTTTTGTAGAATCTGCGATTGGAGATTTGGACTGCTTTGAGGCCTACTGTAGTAAAGGAAATAACTTCATCTAAAAACCAAACGGAAGCATTCACAGACAATTCTTAGTGATCATTGCATTGAACTAACAGAGCTGAACATTCCTTTAGATGGCGCAGTTTCCAAACACACTTTCTGTAGAATCTGCAAGTGGATATTTGGACCTCTCTGAGGATTTCGTTGGAAACGGGATAAACTTCCCAGAACTACAGGGAAGCATTGTGAGAAACTTCTTTGTGATGTTTGCATTCAACTCACAGAGTTGAACCTTGCTTTCATAGTTCAGCTTTCAAACACTCTTTTTGTAGAATCTGCAAGTGGATATTTGGACCACTTTGTGGCCTTCCTTCGAAACGGGTATATCTTCACATCAAACCTAGACAGAAGCATTCTCAGAATGTTTCCTGTGATGACTGCATTCAACTCACAGAGGTGAACAATCCTGCTGATGGAGCAGTTTTGAAACTCTCTTTCTTTGGATTCTGCAAGTGGATATGTGGACCTCTGTGAAGATTTCGTTGGAAACGGGTTCATCTTCACAGAAAAACTAAACAGGAGCATTCTCAGAAACTGCTTTGTGATGTTTGTGTTCCACTTCAAGAATTGAACTTTCCTCTTGACAGAGCAGCTCTGAAACCCTCTTTTTCTAGAATCTGCAAGTGGACATTTGGAGGGCTTTGAGGCCTGTGGTGGAAAAGGAAAATCTTCCCATAAAAACTAGATGGAAGCATTCTCAGAAACTACTTTGTGATGATTGCATTCGACTCACAGAGTTGAACATTCCTATAGATAGAGCAGGTTGTAAACAATGTTTTTGTAGAATCTGCGATTGGAGATTTGGATTGCTTTGAGGCCTACTGTAGTAAAGGAAATAACTTCATCTAAAAACCAAACGGAAGCATTCACAGACAATTCTTAGTGATCATTGGATTGAACTAACAGAGCTGAACATTCCTTTACATGGAGCAGTTGCCAAACCCACTTTCTGTAGAATCTGCAAGTGGATATTTGGACTTCTCTGAGGATTTCGTTGGAAACGGGATAAACTTCCCAGAACTACACGGAAGCATTTTGAGAAACTTCTTTGTGATGTTTGCATTCAACTCACAGAGTTGAACCTTGCTTTCATAGTTCAGCTTTCAAACACTCTTTTTGTAGAATCTGCAAGTGGATATTTGGACCACTATGTGGCCTTCCTTTGAAAAGGGTATATCTTCACATCAAACCTAGACAGAAGCATTCTCAGAATGTTTCCTGTGATGACTGTATTCAACTCACAGAGGTGAACAATCCTGCTGATGGAGCAGTTTTGAAACTCTCTTTCTTTGGATTCTGCAAGTGGATATGTGGACCTCTGTGAAGATTTCGTTGGAAACGGGTTCATCTTCACAGAAAAACTAAACAGGAGCATTCTCAGAAACTGCTTTGTGATGTTTGTGTTCCACTTCAAGAATTGAACTTTCCTCTTGACAGAGCAGCTCTGAAACCCTCTTTTTCTAGAATCTGCAAGTGGACATTTGGAGGGATTTGAGGCCTGTGGTGGAAAAGGAAAATCTTCACATAAAAACTAGATGGAAGCATTCTCAGAAACTACTTTGTGATGATTGCATTCGACTCACAGAGTTGAACATTCCTATAGATAGAGCAGGTTGTAAACAATGTTTTTGTAGAATCTGCGATTGGAGATTTGGACTGCTTTGAGGCCTACTGTAGTAAAGGAAATAACTTCATCTAAAAACCAAACGGAAGCATTCACAGACAATTCTTAGTGATCATTGCATTGATCTAACAGAGCTGAACATTCCTTTAGATGGCGTAGTTTCCAAACACACTTTCTGTAGAATCTGCAAGTGGATATTTGGACCTCTCTGAGGATTTCGTTGGAAACGGGATAAACTTCCCAGAACTACACGGAAGCATTCTGAGAAACTTCTTTGTGATGTTTGCATTCAACTCACAGAGTTGAACCTTGCTTTCATAGTTCAGCTTTCAAACACTCTTTTTGTAGAATCTGCAAGTGGATATTTGGACCACTTTGTGGCCTCCCTTCGGAACGGGTATATCTTCACATCAAACCTAGACAGAAGCATTCTCAGAATGTTTCCTGTGATGACTGCATTCAACTCACAGAGATGAACAATCCTGTTGATGGAGCAGTTTTGAAACTCTCTTTCTTTGCATTCTGCAAGTGGATATGTGGACCTCTGTGAAAATTTCGTTGGAAACGGGTTCATCTTCACAGAAAAACTAAACAGAAGCATTCTCAGAAACTGCTTTGTGATGTTTGTGTTCCACTTCAGGAATTGAACTTTCCTCTTGACAGAGCAGCTCTGAAACCCTCTTATTCTAGAATCTGCAAGTGGACATTTGGAGGGCTTTGAGGCCTGTGGTGGAAAAGGAAAATCTTCACATAAAAACTAGATGGAAGCATTCTCAGAAACTACTTTGTGATGATTGCATTCGACTCACAGAGTTGAACATTCCTATAGATAGAGCAGGTTGTAAACAATCTTTTTGTAGAATCTGCGATTGGAGATTTGGACTGCTTTGAGGCCTACTGTAGTAAAGGAAATAACTTCATCTAAAAACCAAACGGAAGCATTCACAGACAATTCTTAGTGATCATTGGATTGAACTAACAGAGCTGAACATTCCTTTAGATGGAGCAGTTTCCAAACACACTTTCTGTAGAATCTGCAAGTGGATATTTGGACCTCTCTGAGGATTTCGTTGGAAACGGGATAAACTTCCCAGAACTACACGGAAGCATTCTGAGAAACTTCTTTGTGATGTTTGCATTCAACTCACAGAGTTGAACCTTGCTTTCATAGTTCAGCTTTCAAACACTCTTTTTGTAGAATCTGCAAGTGGATATTTGGACCACTTTGTGGCCTTCCTTCGAAACGGGTATATCTTCACATCAAACCTAGACAGAAGCATTCTCAGAATGTTTCCTGTGATGACTGCATTCAACTCACAGAGGTGAACAATCCTGCTGATGGAGCAGATTTGAAACTCTCTTTCTTTGGATTCTGCAAGTGGATATGTGGACCTCTGTGAAGATTTCGTTGGAAACGGGTTCATCTTCACAGAAAAACTAAACAGAAGCATTCTCAGAAACTGCTTTGTGATGCTTGTGTTCCATTTCAGGAATTGAACTTTCCTCTTGACAGAGCAGCTCTGAAACCCTCTTATTCTAGAATCTGCAAGTGGACATTTGGAGGGCTTTGAGGCCTGTGGTGGAAAAGGAAAATCTTCACATAAAAACTAGATGGAAGCATTCTCAGAAACTACTTTGTGATGATTGCATTCGACTCACAGAGTTGAACATTCCTATAGATAGAGCAGGTTGTAAACAATCTTTTTGTAGAATCTGCGATTGGAGATTTGGACTGCTTTCAGGCCTACTGTAGTAAAGGAAATAACTTCATCTAAAAACCAAACGGAAGCATTTACAGACAATTCTTAGTGATCATTGGATTGAACTAACAGAGCGGAACATTCCTTTAGATGGAGCAGTTTCCAAACACACTTTCTGTAGAATCTGCAAGTGGATATTTGGACTTCTCTGAGGATTTCGTTGGAAACGGGATAAACTTCCCAGAACTACACGGAAGCATTGTGAGAAACTTCTTTGTGATGTTTGCATTCAACTCACAGAGTTGAACCTTGCTTTCATAGTTCAGCTTTCAAACACTCTTTTTGTAGAATCTGCAAGTGGATATTTGGACCACTTTGTGGCCTTCCTTCGAAACGGGTATATCTTCACATCAAACCTAGACAGAAGCATTCTCAGAATGTTTCCTGTGATGACTGCATTCAACTCACAGAGGTGAACAATCCTGTTGATGGAGCAGTTTTGAAACTCTCTTTCTTTGGATTCTGCAAGTGGATATGTGGACCTCTGTGAAGATTTCGTTGGAAACGGGTTCATCTTCACAGAAAAACTAAACAGAAGCATTCTCAGAAACTGCTTTGTGATGTTTGTGTTCCACTTCAGGAATTGAACTTTCCTCTTGACAGAGCAGCTCTAAAACCCTCTTATTCTAGAATCTGCAAGTGGACATTTGGAGGGCTTTGAGGCCTGTGGTGGAAAAGGAAAATCTTCACATAAAAACTAGATGGAAGCATTCTCAGAAACTACTTTGTGATGATTGCATTCGACTCACAGAGTTGAACATTCCTATAGATAGAGCAGGTTGTAAACAATCTTTTTGTAGAATCTGCGATTGGAAATTTGGACTGCTTTGAGGCCTACTGTAGTAAAGGAAATAACTTCATCTAAAAACCAAACGGAAGCATTCACAGACAATTCTTAGTGATCATTGCATTGAACTAACAGAGCTGAACATTCCTTTAGATGGCGCAGTTTCCAAACACACTTTCTGTAGAATCTGCAAGTGGATATTTGGACCTCTCTGAGGATTTCGTTGGAAACGGGATAAACTTCCCAGAACTACACGGAAGCATTCTGAGAAACTTCTTTGTGATGTTTGCATTCAACTCACAGAGTTGAACCTTGCTTTCATAGTTCAGCTTTCAAACACTCTTTTTGTAGAATCTGCAACTGGATATTTGGACCACTTTGTGGCCTTCCTTCGAAACGGGTATATCTTCACATCAAACCTAGACAGAAGCATTCTCAGAATGTTTCCTGTGATGACTGCATTCAACTCACAGAAGTGAACAATCCTGCTGATGGAGCAGTTTTGAAACTCTCTTTCTTTGGATTCTGCAAGTTGATATGTGGACCTCTGTGAAGATTTCGTTGGAAACGGGTTCATCTTCACAGAAAAATTAACAGAAGCATTCTCAGAAACTACTTTGTGATGTCTGTGTTCGACTTCAGGAATTGAACTTTCCTCTTGACAGAGCAGCTCTGAAACCCTCTTATTCTAGAATCTGCAAGTGGACATTTGGAGGGCTTTGAGGCCTGTGGTGGAAAAGGAAAATCTTCACATAAAAACTAGATGGAAGCATTCTCAGAAACTACTTTGTGATGATTGCATTCGACTCACAGAGTTGAACATTCCTATAGATAGAGCAGGTTGTAAACAATCTTTTTGTAGAATCTGCGATTGGAGATTTGCACTGCTTTGAGGCCTACTGTAGTAAAGGAAATAACTTCATTTAAAAACCAAACGGAAGCATTCACAGACAATTCTTAGTGATCATTGGATTGATCTAACAGAGCTGAACATTCCTTTAGATGGCGCAGTTTCCAAACACACTTTCTGTAGAATCTGCAAGTGGATATTTGGACCTCTCTGAGGATTTCGTTGGAAACGGGATAAACTTCCCAGAACTACACGGAAGCATTCTGAGAAACTTCTTTGTGATGTTTGCATTCAACTCACAGAGTTGAACCTTGCTTTCATAGTTCAGCTTTCAAACACTCTTTTTGTAGAATCTGCAAGTAGATATTTGGACCACTTTGTGGCCTTCCTTCGAAACGGGTATATCTTCACATCAAACCTAGACAGAAGCATTCTCAGAATGTTTCCTGTGATGACTGCATTCAACTCACAGAGGTGAACAATCCTGCTGATGGAGCAGTTTTGAAACTCTCTTTCTTTGGATTCTGCAAGTGGATATGTGGACCTCTGTGAAGATTTCGTTGGAAACGGGTTCATCTTCACAGAAAAACTAAACAGAAGCATTCTCAGAAACTGCTTTGTGATGTTTGTGTTCCACTTCAAGAATTGAACTTTCCTCTTGACAGAGCAGCTCTGAAACCCTCTTTTTCTAGAATCTGCAAGTGGACATTTGGAGGGCTTTGAGGCCTGTGGTGGAAAAGGAAAATCTTCACATAAAAACTAGATGGAAGCATTCTCAGAAACTACTTTGTGATGATTGCATTCGACTCACAGAGTTGAACATTCCTATAGATAGAGCAGGTTGTAAACAATCTTTTTGTAGAATCTGCGATTGGAGATTTGGACTGCTTTGAGGCCTACTGTAGTAAAGGAAATAACTTCATCTAAAAACCAAACGGAAGCATTCACAGACAATTCTTAGTGATCATTGCATTGAACTAACAGAGCTGAACATTCCTTTAGATGGCGCAGTTTCCAAACACACTTTCTGTAGAATCTGCAAGTGGATATTTGGACCTCTCTGAGGATTTCGTTGGAAACGGGATAAACTTCCCAGAACCACACGGAAGCATTCTGAGAAACTTCTTTGTGATGTTTGCATTCAACTCACAGAGTTGAACCTTGCTTTCATAGTTCAGCTTTCAAACACTCTTTTTGTAGAATCTGCAAGTGGATATTTGGACCACTTTGTGGCCTTCCTTCGAAACGGGTATATCTTCACATCAAACCTAGACAGAAGCATTCTCAGAATGTTTCCTGTGATGACTGCATTCAACTCACAGAGGTGAACAATCCTGCTGATGGAGCAGTTTTGAAACTCTCTTTCTTTGGATTCTGCAAGTGGATATGTGGACCTCTGTGAAGATTTCGTTGGAAACGGGTTCATCTTCACAGAAAAACTAAACAGGAGCATTCTCAGAAACTGCTTTGTGATGTTTGTGTTCCACTTAAAGAATTGAACTTTCCTCTTGACAGAGCAGCTCTGAAACCCTCTTTTTCTAGAATCTGCAAGTGGACATTTGGAGGGCTTTGAGGCCTGTGGTGGAAAAGGAAAATCTTCACATAAAAACTTTATGGAAGCATTCTCAGAAACTACTTTGTGATGATTGCATTCGACTCACAGAGTTGAACATTCCTATAGATAGAGCAGGTTGTAAACAATCTTTTTGTAGAATCTGCGATTGGAGATTTGGACTGCTTTGAGGCCTACTGTAGTAAAGGAAATTACTTCATATAAAAACCAAACGGAAGCATTCACAGACAATTCTTAGTGATCATTGCATTGAACTAACAGAGCTGAACATTCCTTTAGATGGCGCAGTTTCCAAACACACTTTCTGTAGAATCTGCAAGTGGATATTTGGACCTCTCTGAGGATTTCGTTGGAAACGGGATAAACTTCCCAGAACTACACGGAAGCATTCTGAGAAACTTCTTTGTGATGTTTGCTTTCAACTCAGAGAGTTGAACCTTGCTTTCATAGTTCAGCTTTCAAACCCTCTTTTTGTAGAATCTGCAAGTGGATATTTGGACCACTTTGTGGCCTTCCTTCGAAACGGGTATATCTTCACATCAAATCTAGACAGAAGCATTCTCAGAATGTTTCCTGTGATGACTGCATTCAACTCACAGAGGTGAACAATCCTGCTGATGGAGCAGTTTTGAAACTCTCTTTCTTTGGATTCTGCAAGTGGATATGTGGACCTCTGTGAAGATTTCGTTGGAAACGGGTTCATCTTCACAGAAAAACTAAACAGAAGCATTCTCAGAAACTGCTTTGTGATGTTTGTGTTCCACTTCAGGAATTGAACTTTCCTCTTGACAGAGCAGCTCTGAAACCCTCTTATTCTAGAATCTGCAAGTGGACATTTGGAGGGCTTTGAGGCCTGTGGTGGAAAAGGAAAATCTTCACATAAAAACTAGATGGAAGCATTCTAAGAAACTACTTTGTGATGATTGCATTCGACTCACAGAGTTGAACATTCCTATAGATAGAGCAGGTTGTAAACAATCTTTTTGTAGAATCTGCGATTGGAGATTTGGACTGCTTTGAGGCCTACTGTAGTAAAGGAAATAACTTCATCTAAAAACCAAACGGAAGCATTCACAGACAATTCTTAGTGATCATTGCATTGAACTAACAGAGCTGAACATTCCTTTAGATGGAGCAGTTTCCAAACACACTTTCTGTAGAATCTGCAAGTGGATATTTGGACTTCTCTGAGGATTTCGTTGGAAACGGGATAAACTTCCCAGAACTACACGGAAGCATGCTGAGAAACTTCTTTGTGATGTTTGCATTCAACTCACAGAGTTGAACCTTGCTTTCATAGTTCAGCTTTCAAACACTCTTTTTGTAGAATCTGCAAGTGGATATTTGGACCACTTTGTGGCCTTCCTTCGAAACGGGTATATCTTCACATCAAACCTAGACAGAAGCATTCTCAGAATGTTTCCTGTGATGACTGCATTCAACTCACAGAGGTGAACAATCCTGCTGATGGAGCAGTTTTGAAACTCTCTTTCTTTGGATTCTGCAAGTGGATATGTGGACCTCTGTGAAGATTTCGTTGGAAACGGGTTCATCTTCACAGAAAAACTAAACAGAAGCATTCTCAGAAACTGCTTTGTGATGTTTTTGTTCCACTTCAGGAATTGAACTTTCCTCTTTACAGAGCAGCTCTGAAACCCTCTTATTCTAGAATCTGCAAGTGGACATTCTGAGGGCTTTGAGGCCTGTGGTGGAAAAGGAAAATCTTCACATAAAAACTAGATGGAAGCATTCTCAGAAACTACTTTGTGATGATTGCATTCGACTCACAGAGTTGAACATTCCTATAGATAGAGCAGGTTGTAAACAATCTTTTTGTAGAATCTGCGATTGGAGATTTGGACTGCTTTGAGGCCTACTGTAGTAAAGGAAATAACTTCATCTAAAAACCAAACGGAAGCATTCACAGACAATTCTTAGTGATCATTGGATTGAACTAACAGAGCTGAACACTCCTTTAGATGGCGCTGTTTCCAAACACACTTTCTGTAGAATCTGCAAGTGGATATTTGGACTTCTCTGAGGATTTCGTTGGAAACGGGATAAACTTCCCAGAACTACACGGAAGCATTGTGAGAAACTTCTTTGTGATGTTTGCATTCAACTCACAGAGTTGAACCTTGCTTTCATAGTTCAGCTTTCAAACACTCTTTTTGTAGAATCTGCAAGTGGATATTTGGACCACTTTGTGGCCTTCCTTCGAAACGGGTATATCTTCACATCAAACCTAGACAGAAGCATTCTCAGAATGTTTCCTGTGATGACTGCATTCAACTCACAGAGGTGAACAATCCTGCTGATGGAGCAGTTTTGAAACTCTCTTTCTTTGGATTCTGCAAGTGGATATGTGTACCTCTGTGAAGATTTCGTTGGAAACGTGTTCATCTTCACAGAAAAACTAAACAGGAGCATTCTCAGAAACTGCTTTGTGATGTTTGTGTTCCACTTCAGGAATTGAACTTTCCTCTTAACAGAGCAGCTCTGAAACCCTCTTTTTCTAGAATCTGCAAGTGGACATTTGGAGGGCTTTGAGGCCTGTGGTGGAAAAGGAAAATCTTCACATAAAAACTAGATGGAAGCATTCTCAGAAACTACTTTGTGATGATTGCATTTGACTCACAGAGTTGAACATTCCTATAGATAGAGCAGGTTGTAAACAATCTTTTTGTAGAATCTGCGATTGGAGATTTGGACTGCTTTGAGGCCTACTGTAGTAAAGGAAATAACTTCATCTAAAAACCAAACGGAAGCATTCACAGACAATTCTTAGTGATCATTGGATTGAACTAACAGAGCTGAACATTCCTTTAGATGGAGCAGTTTCCAAACACACTTTCTGTAGAATCTGCAAGTGGATATTTGGACTTCTCTGAGGATTTCGTTGGAAACGGGATAAACTTCCCAGAACTACACGGAAGCATTCTGAGAAACTTCTTTGTGATGTTTGCATTCAACTCACAGAGTTGAACCTTGCTTTCATAGTTCAGCTTTCAAACACTCTTTTTGTAGAATCTGCAAGTGGATATTTGGACCACTTTGTGGCCTTCCTTCGAAACGGGTATATCTTCACATCAAACCTAGACAGAAGCATTCTCAGAATGTTTCCTGTGATGACTGCATTCAACTCACAGAGGTGAACAATCCTGCTGATGGAGTAGTTTTGAAACTCTCTTTCGTTGGATTCTGCAAGTGGATATGGGGACCTCTGTGAAGATTTCGTTGGAAACGGGTTCATCTTCACAGAAAAACTAAACAGAAGCATTCTCAGAAACTGCTTTGTGATGTTTGTGTTCCACTTCAAGAATTGAACTTTCCTCTTGACAGAGCAGCTCTGAAACCCTCTTTTTCTAGAATCTGCAAGTGGACATTTGGAGGGCTTTGAGGCCTGTGGTGGAAAAGGAAAATCTTCACATAAAAACTAGATGGAAGCATTCTCAGAAACTACTTTGTGATGATTGCATTCGACTCACAGAGTTGAACATTCCTATAGAGAGAGCAGGTTGTAAACAATCTTTTTGTAGAATCTGCGATTGGAGATTTGGACTGCTTTGAGGCCTACTGTAGTAAAGGAAATAACTTCATCTAAAAACCAAACGGAAGCATTCACAGACAATGCTTAGTGATCATTGGATTGAACTAACAGAGCTGAAGATTCCTTTAGATGGAGCAGTTTCCAAACCCACTTTCTGTAGAATCTGCAAGAGGATATTTGGACCTCTCTGAGGATTTCGTTGGAAACGGGATATACTTCCCAGAACTACACGGAAGGATTCTGAGAAACTTCTTTGTGATGTTTGCATTCAACTCACAGAGTTGAACCTTGCTTTCATAGTTCAGCTTTCAAACACTCTTTTTGTAGAATCTGCAAGTGGATATTTTGACCACTTTGTGGTCTTCCTTCGAAACGGGTATATCTTCACATCAAACCTTGACAGAAGCATTCTCAGAATGTTTCCTGTGATGACTGCAGTCAACTCACAGAGGTGAACAATCCTGCTGATGAAGCAGTTTTGAAACTCTCTTTCTTTGGATTCTGCAAGTGGATATGTGGACCTCTGTGAAGATTTCGTTGGAAACGGGTTCATCTTCACAGAAAAACTAAACAGGAGCATTCTCAGAAACTGCTTTGTTATGTTTGTGTTCCACTTCAAGAATTGAACTTTCCTCTTGACAGAGCAGCTCTGAAACCCTCTTTTTCTAGAATCTGCAAGTGGACATTTGGAGGGCTTTGAGGCCTGTGGTGGAAAAGGAAAATCTTCACATAGAAACTAGATGGAAGCATTCTCAGAAACTACTTTGTGATGATTGCATTCGACTCACAGAGTTGAACATTCCTATACATAGAGCAGGTTGTAAACAATCTTTTTGTAGAATCTGCGATTGGAGATTTGGACTGCTTTGAGGCCTACTGTAGTAAAGGAAATAACTTCATCTAAAAACCAAACGGAAGCATTCACAGACAATTCTTAGTGATCATTGGATTGAACTAACAGAGCTGAACATTCCTTTAGATGGAGCAGTTTCCAAACACACTTTCTGTAGAATCTGCAAGTGGATATTTGGACTTCTCTGAGGATTTCGTTGGAAACGGGATAAACTTCCCAGAACTACACGGAAGCATTCTGAGAAACTTCTTTGTGATGTTTGCATTCAACTCACAGAGTTGAACCTTGCTTTCATAGTTCAGCTTTCAAACACTCTTTTTGTAGAATCTGCAAGTGGATATTTGGACCACTTTGTGGCCTTCCTTCGAAACGGGTATATCTTCACATCAAACCTAGACAGAAGCATTCTCAGAATGTTTCCTGTGATGACTGCATTCAACTCACAGAGGTGAACAATCCTACTGATGGAGCAGTTTTGAAACTCTCTTTCTTTGGATTCTGCAAGTGGATATGTGGACCTCTGTGAAGATTTCGTTGGAAACGGGTTCATCTTCACAGAAAAACTAAACAGAAGCATTCTCAGAAACTGCTTTGTGATGTTTGTGTTCCACTTCAGGAATTGAACTTTCCTCTTGACAGAGCAGCTCTGAAACCCTCTTATTCTAGAATCTGCAAGTGGACATTTGGAGGGCTTTGAGGCCTGTGGTGGAAAAGGAAAATCTTCACATAAAAACTAGATGGAAGCATTCTCAGAAACTACTTTGTGATGATTGCATTCGACTCACAGAGTTGAACATTCCTATAGATAGAGCAGGTTGTAAACAATGTTTTTGTAGAATCTGCGATTGGAGATTTGGACTGCTTTGAGGCCTACTGTAGTAAAGGAAATAACTTCATCTAAAAACCAAACGGAATCATTCACAGACAATTCTTAGTGATCATTGGATTGAACTAACAGAGCTGAACATTCCTTTAGATGGAGCAGTTTCCAAACACACTTTCTGCAGAATCTGTAAGTGGATATTTGGACTTCTCTGAGGATTTCGTTGGAAACGGGATAAACTTCCCAGAACTACACGGAAGCATTGTGAGAAACATCTTTGTGATGTTTGCATTCAACTCACAGAGTTGAACCTTGCTTTCATAGTTCAGCTTTCAAACACTCTTTTTGTAGAATCTGCAAGTGGATATTTGGACCACTTTGTGGCTTTCCTTTGAAACGGGTACATCTTCACATCAAACCTAGACAGAAGCATTCTCAGAATGTTTCCTGTGATGACTGCATTCAACTCACAGAGGTGAACAATCCTGCTGATGGAGCAGTTTTGAAACTCTCTTTCTTTGGATTCTGCAAGTGGATATGTGGACCTCTGTGAAGATTTCGTTGGAAACGGGTTCATCTTCACAGAAAAACTAAACAGGAGCATTCTCAGAAACTGCTTTGTGATGTTTTTGTTCCACATCAAGAATTGAACTTTCCTCTTGACAGAGCAGCTCTGAAACCCTCTTTTTCTAGAATCTGCAAGTGGACATTTGGAGGGCTTTGAGGCCTGTGGTGCAAAAGGAAAATCTTCACATAAAAACTAGATGGAAGCATTCTCAGAAACTACTTTGTGATGATTGCATTCGACTCACAGATTTGAACATTCCTATAGATAGAGCAGGTTGTAAACAATCTTTTTGTAGAATCTGCGATTGGAGATTTGGACTGCTTTGAGGCCTACTGTAGTAAAGGAAATAACTTCATCTAAAAACCAAACGGAAGCATTCACAGACAATTCTTAGTGATCATTGCATTGATCTAACAGAGCTGAACATTCCTTTAGATGGCGTAGTTTCCAAACACACTTTCTGTAAAATCTGCAAGTGGATATTTGGACCTCTCTGAGGATTTCGTTGGAAACGGGATAAACTTCCCAGAACTACACGGAAGCATTGTGAGAAACTTCTTTGTGATGTTTGCATTCAACTCACAGAGTTGAACCTTGCTTTCATAGTTCAGCTTTCAAACACTCTTTTTGTAGAATCTGCAAGTGGATATTTGGACCACTTTGTGGCCTTCCTTCGAAACGGGTATATCTTCACATCAAACCTAGACAGAAGCATTCTCAGAATGTTTCCTGTGATGACTGCATTCAACTCACAGAGGTGAACAATCCTGCTGATGGAGCAGTTTTGAAACTCTCTTTCTTTGGATTCTGCAAGTGGATATGTGGACCTCTGTGAAGATTTCGTTGGAAACGGGTTCATCTTCACAGAAAAACTAAACAGAAGCATTCTCAGAAACTGCTTTGTGATGTTTGTGTTCCACTTCAGGAATTGAACTTTCCTCTTGACAGAGCAGCTCTGAAACCCTCTTATTCTAGAATCTGCAAGTGGACATTTGGAGGGCTTTGAGGCCTGTGGTGGAAAAGGAAAATCTTCACATAATAACTAGATGGAAGCATTCTCAGAAACTACTTTGTGATGATTGCATTCGACTCACAGAGTTGAACATTCCTATAGATAGAGCAGGTTGTAAACAGTCTTTTTGTAGAATCTGTGATTGGAGATTTGGACTGCTTTGAGGCCTACTGTAGTAAAGGAAATAACTTCATCTAAAAACCAAACGGAAGCATTCACAGACAATTCTTAGTGATCATTGGATTGAACTAACAGAGCTGAACATTCCTTTAGATGGAGCAGTTTCCAAACACACTTTCTGTAGAATCTGCAAGTGGATATTTGGACTTCTCTGAGGATTTCGTTGGAAACGGGATAAACTTCCCAGAACTACACGGAAGCATTGTGAGAAACTTCTTTGTGATGTTTGCATTCAACTCACAGAGTTGAACCTTGCTTTCATAGTTCAGCTTTCAAACACTCTTTTTGTAGAATCTGCAAGTGGATATTTGGACCACTTTGTGGCCTTCCTTCGAAACGGGTATATCTTCACATCAAACCTAGACAGAAGCATTCTCAGAATGTTTCCTGTGATGACTGCATTCAACTCACAGAGGTGAACAATCCTGCTGATGGAGCAGTTTTGAAACTCTCTTTCTTTGGATTCTGCAAGTGGATATGTGGACCTCTGTGTAGATTTCGTTGGAAACGGGTTCATCTTCACAGAATAACTAAACAGGAGCATTCTCAGAAACTGCTTTGTGATGTTTGTGTTCCACTTCAAGAATTGAACTTTCCTCTTGACAGAGCAGCTCTGAAACCCTCTTTTTCTAGAATCTGCAAGTGGACATTTGGAGGGCTTTGAGGCCTGTGGTGGAAAAGGAAAATCTTCACATAAAAACTAGATGGAAGCATTCTCAGAAACTACTTTGTGATGATTGCATTCGACTCACAGAGTTGAACATTCCTATAGATAGAGCAGGTTGTAAACAATCTTTTTGTAGAATCTGCGATTGGAGATTTGGACTGCTTTGAGGCCTACTGTAGTAAAGGAAATAACTTCATCTAAAAACCAAACGGAAGCATTCACAGAAAATTCTTAGTGATCATTGGATTGAACTAACAGAGCTGAACATTCCTTTAGATGGCACAGTTTCCAAACACACTTTCTGTAGAATCTGCAAGTGGATATTTGGACCTCTCTGAGGATTTCATTGGAAACGGGCTAAACTTCCCAGAACTACATGGAAGCATTCTGAGAAACTTCTTTGTGATGTTTGCATTCAACTCACAGAGTTGAACCTTGCTTTCATAGTTCAGCTTTCAAACACTCTTTTTGTAGAATCTGCAAGTGGATATTTGGACCACTTTGAGGCCTTCCTTCGAAACGGGTATATCTTCACATCAAACCTAGACAGAAGCATTCTCAGAATGTTTCCTGTGATGACTGCATTCAACTCACAGAGGTGAACAATCCTGTTGATGGAGCAGTTTTGAAACTCTCTTTCTTTGGATTCTGCAGGTGGATATGTGGACCTCTGTGAAGATTTCGTTGGAAACGGGTTCATCTTCATAGAAAAACTAAACAGGAGCATTCTCAGAAACTGCTTTGTGATGTTTGTGTTCCACTTCAGGAATTGAGCTTTCCTCTTGAGAGAGCAGCTCTGAAACCCTCTTTTTCTAGAATCTGCAAGTGGACATTTGGAGGTCTTTGAGGCCTGTGGTGGAAAAGGAAAATCTTCACATAAAAACTAGATGGAAGCATTCTCAGAAACTACTTTGTGATGATTGCATTCGACTCACAGAGTTGAACATTCCTATAGATAGAGCAGGTTGAAAACAATCTTTTTGTAGAATCTGCGATTGGAGATTTGGACTGCTTTGAGGCCTACTGTAGTAAAGGAAATAACTTCATCTAAAAACCAAACGGAAGCATTCACAGACAATTCTTAGTGATCATTGGATTGAACTAACAGAGCTGAACATTCCTTTAGATGGAGCAGTTTCCAAACCCACTTTCTGTAGAATCTGCAAGTGGATATTTGGACTTCTCTGAGGATTTCGTTGGAAACGGGATAAACTTCCCAGAACTACACGGAAGCATTCTGAGAAACTTCTTTGTGATGTTTGCATTCAACTCACAGAGTTGAACCTTGCTTTCATAGTTCAGCTTTCAAACACTCTTTTTGTAGAATCTGCAAGTGGATATTTGGACCACTTTGTGGCCTTCCTTCGAAACGGGTATATCTTCACATCAACCCTAGACAGAAGCATTCTCAGGATGTTTCCTGTGATGACTGCATTCAACTCACAGAGGTGAACAATCCTGCTGATGGAGCAGTTTTGAAACTCTCTTTCTTTGGATTCTGCAAGTTGATATGTGGACCTCTGTGAAGATTTCGTTGGAAACGGGTTCATCTTCACAGAAAAAGTAAACAGAAGCATTCTCAGAAACTACTTTGTGATGTTTGTGTTCCACTTCAAGAATTGAACTTTCCTCTTGACAGAGCAGCTCTGAAACCCTCTTTTTCTAGAATCTGCAAGTGGACATTTTGAGGGCTTTGAGGCCTGTGGTGGAAAAGGAAAATCTTCACATAAAAACTAGATGGAAGCATTCTCAGAAACTACTTTGTGATGATTGCATTCGACTCACAGAGTTGAACATTCCTATAGATAGAGCAGGTTGTAAACAATCTTTTTGTAGAATCTGCGATTGGAGATTTGGACTGCTTTGAGGCCTACTGTAGTAAAGGAAATAACTTCATCTAAAAACCAAACGGAAGCATTCACAGACAATTCTTAGTGATCATGGCATTGAACTAACAGAGCTGAACATTCCTTTAGATGGCGCAGTTTCCAAACACACTTTCTGTAGAATCTGCAAGTGGATATTTGGACCTCTCTGAGGATTTCGTTGGAAACGGGATAAACTTCCCAGAACTACACGGAAAAGCATTCTGAGAAACTTCTTTGGATGTTTGCATTCAACTCACAGAGTTGAACCTTGCTTTCATAGTTCAGCTTTCAAACCCTCTTTTTGTAGAATCTGCAAGTGGATATTTGGACCACTTTGTGGCCTTCCTTCGAAACGGGTATATCTTCACATCAAACCTAGACAGAAGCATTCTCAGAATGTTTCCTGTGATGACTGCATTCAACTCACAGAGGTGAACAATCCTGCTGACGGAGCAGTTTTGAAACTCTCTTTCTTTGGATTCTGCAAGTGGATATGTGGACCTCTGTGAAGATTTCGTTGGAAACGGGTTCATCTTCACAGAAAAACTAAACAGGAGCATTCTCAGAAACTGCTTTGTGATGTTTGTGTTCCACTTCAAGAATTGAACTTTCCTCTTGACAGAGCAGCTCTGAAACCCTCTTTTTCTAGAATCTGCAAGTGGACATTTGGAGGGCTTTGAGGCCTGTGGTGGAAAAGGAAAATCTTCACATAAAAACTAGATGGAAGCATTCTCAGAAACTACTTTGTGATGATTGCATTCGACTCACAGAGTTGAACATTCCTATATATAGAGCAGGTTGTAAACAATCTTTTTGTAGAATCTGCGATTGGAGATTTGGACTGCTTTGAGGCCTACTGTAGTTAAGGAAATAACTTCATCTAAAAACCAAACGGAAGCATTCACAGACAATTCTTAGTGATCATTGCATTGAACTAACAGAGCTGAACATTCCTTTAGATGGAGCAGTTTCCAAACACACTTTCTGTAGAATCTGCAAGTGGATATTTGGACCTCTGTGAGGATTTCGTTGGAAACGGGATAAACTTCCCAGAACTACACGGAAGCATTCTGAGAAACTTCTTTGTGATGTTTGCATTCAACTCACAGAGTTGAACCTTGCTTTCATAGTTCAGCTTTCAAACACTCTTTTTGTAGAATCTGCAAGTGGATATTTGGACCACTTTGTGGCCTTCCTTCGAAACGGGTATATCTTCACATCAAACCTAGACAGAAGCATTCTCAGAATGTTTCCTGTGATGACTGCATTCAACTCACAGAGGTGAACAATCCTGCTGATGGAGCAGTTTTGAAACTCTCTTTCTTTGGATTCTGCAAGTGGATATGTGGACCTCTGTGAAGATTTCGTTGGAAACGGGTTCATCTTCACAGAAAAACTAAACAGGAGCATTCTCAGAAACAGCTTTGTGATGTTTGTGTTCCACTTCAAGAATTGAACTTTCCTCTTGACAGAGCAGCTCTGAAACCCTCTTTTTCTAGAGTCTGCAAGTGGACATTTGGAGGGCTTTGAGGCCTGTGGTGGAAAAGGAAAATCTTCACATAAAAACTAGATGGAAGCATTCTCAGAAACTACTTTGTGATGATTGCATTCGAGTCACAGTGTTGAACATTCCTATAGATAGAGCAGGTTGTAAACAATCTTTTTGTAGAATCTGCGATTGGAGATTTGGACTGCTTTGACCCCTACTGTAGTAAAGGAAATAACTTCATCTAAAAACCAAACGGAAGCATTCACAGACAATTCTTAGTGATCATTGGATTGAACTAACAGAGCTGAACATTCCTTTAGATGGAGCAGTTTCCAAACCCACTTTCTGTAGAATCTGCAAGTGGATATTTGGACTTCTCTGAGAATTTCGTTGGAAACGGCATAAACTTCCCAGAACTACACGGAAGCATTGTGAGAAACTTCTTTGTGATGTTTGCATTCAACTCACAGAGTTGAACCTTGCTTTCATAGTTCAGCTTTCAAACACTCTTTTTGTAGAATCTGCAAGTGGATATTTGGACCACTTTGTGGCCTTCCCTCGAAACGGGTATATCTTCACATCAAACCTAGACAGAAGCATTCTCAGAATGTTTCCTGTGATGACTGCATTCAACTCACAGAGGTGAACAATCCTGCTGATGGAGCAGTTTTGAAACTCTCTTTCTTTGGATTCTGCAAGTGGATATGTGGACCTCTGTGAAGATTTCGTTGGAAACGGGTTCATCTTCACAGAAAAACTAAACAGGAGCATTCTCAGAAACTGCTTTGTGATGTTTGTGTTCCACTTCAAGAATTGAACTTTCCTCTTGACAGAGCAGCTCTGAAACCCTCTTTTTCTAGAATCTGCAAGTGGACATTTGGAGGGCTTTGAGGCCTGTGGTGGAAAAGGAAAATCTTCACATAAAAACTAGATGGAAGCATTCTCAGAAACTACTTTGTGATGATTGCATTCGACTCACAGAGTTGAACATTCCTATAGATAGAGCAGGTTGTAAACAATCTTTTTGTAGAATCTGCAATGGGAGATTTGGACTGCTTTGAGGCCTACCGTAGTAAAGGAAATAACTTCATCTAAAAACCAAACGGAAAGCATTCACAGACAATTCTTAGTGATCATTGGATTGAACTAACAGAGCTGAACATTCCTTTAGATGGAGCAGTTTCCAAACACACTTTCTGTAGAATCTGCAAGTGGATATTTGGACTTCTCTGAGGATTTCGTTGGATAAGGGATAAACTTCCCAGAACTACAGGGAAGCATTCTGAGAAACTTCTTTGTGATGTTTGCATTCAACTCACAGAGTTGAACCTTGCTTTCATAGTTCAGCTTTCAAACACTCTTTTTGTAGAATCTGCAAGTGGATATTTGGACCACTTTGTGGCCTTCCTTCGAAACGGGTATATCTTCACATCAAACCTAGACAGAAGCATTCTCAGAATGTTTCCTGTGATGACTGCATTCAACTCACAGAGGTGAACAATCCTGCTGTTGGAGCAGTTTTGAAACTCTCTTTCTTTGGATTCTGCAAGTGGATATGTGGACCTCTGTGAAGATTTCGTTGGAAACGGGTTCATCTTCACAGAAAAACTAAACAGAAGCATTCTCAGAAACTGCTTTGTGATGTTTGTGTTCCACTTCAAGAATTGAACTTTCCTCTTGACAGAGCAGCTCTGAAACCCTCTTATTCTAGAATCTGCAAGTGGACATTTGGAGGGCTTTGAGGCCTGTGGTGGAAAAGGAAAATCTTCACATAAAAACTAGATGGAAGCATTCTCAGAAACTACTTTGTGATGATTGCATTCGACTCACAGAGTTGAACATTCCTATAGATGGAGCAGGTTGTAAACAATCTTTTTCTAGAATCTGCGATTGGAGATTTGGACTGCTTTGAGGCCTACTGTAGAAAAGGAAATAACTTCATCTAAAAACCAAACGGAAGCATTCACAGACAATTCTTAGTGATCATTGCATTGAACTAACAGAGCTGAACATTCCTTTAGATGGCGCAGTTTCCAAACACACTTTCTGTAGAATCTGCAAGTGGATATTTGGACCTCTCTGAGGATTTCGTTGGAAACGGGATAAACTTCCCAGAACTACACGGAAGCATTGTGAGAAACTTCTTTGTGATGTTTGCATTCAACTCACAGAGTTGAACCTTGCTTTCATAGTTCAGCTTTCAAACACTCTTTTTGTAGAATCTGCAAGTGGATATTTGGACCACTTTGTGGCCTTCCTTCGAAACGTGTATATCTTCACATCAAACCTAGACAGAAGCATTCTCAGAATGTTTCCTGTGATGACTGCATTCAACTCACAGAGGTGAACAATCCTGTTGATGGAGCAGTTTTGAAACTCTCTTTCTTTGGATTCTGCAAGTGGATATGTGGACCTCTGTGAAGATTTCGTTGGAAACGGGTTCATCTTCACAGAAAAACTAAACAGAAGCATTCTCAGAAACTGCTTTGTGATGTTTGTGTTCCACTTCAGGAATTGAACTTTCCTCTTGACAGAGCAGCTCTGAAACCCTCTTTTTCTAGAATCTGCAAGTGGACATTTGGAGGGCTTTGAGGCCTGTGGTGGAAAAGGAAAATCTTCACATAAAAACTAGATGGAAGCATTCTCAGAACCTACTTTGTGATGATTGCATTCGACTCACAGAGTTGAACATTCCTATAGATAGAGCAGGTTGTAAACAATCTTTTTGTAGAATCTGCGATTGGAGATTTGGACTGCATTGAGGCCTACTGTAGTAAAGGAAATAACTTCATCTAAAAACCAAACGGAAGCATTCACAGACAATTCTTAGTGATCATTGGATTGAACTAACAGAGCTGAACATTCCCTTAGATGGCGCAGTTTCCAAACACACTTTCTGTAGAATCTGCAAGTGGATATTTGGACCTCTCTGAGGATTTCGTTGGAAACGGGATAAACTTCCCAGAACTACACGGAAGCATTCTGAGAAACTTCTTTGTGATGTTTGCATTCAACTCACAGAGTTGAACCTTGCTTTCATAGTTCAGCTTTCAAACACTCTTTTTGTAGAATCTGCAAGTGGATATTTGGACCACTTTGTGGCCTTCCTTCGAAACGGGTATATCTTCACATCAAACCTAGACAGATGCATTCTCAGAATGGCTCCTGTGATGACTGCATTCAACTGACAGAGGTGAACAATCCTGCTGATGGAGCAGTTTTGAAACTCTCTTTCTTTGGATTCTGCAAGTGGATATGTGGACCTCTGTGAAGATTTCGTTGGAAACGGGTTCATCTTCACAGAAAAACTAAACAGAAGCATTATCAGAAACTGCTTTGTGATGTTTGTGTTCCACTTCAGGAATTGTACTTTCCTCTTGACAGAGCAGCTCTGAAACCCTCTTATTCTAGAATCTGCAAGTGGACATTTGGAGGGCTTTGAGGCCTGTGGTGGAAAAGGAAAATCTTCACATAAAAACTAGATGGAAGCATTCTCAGAAACTACTTTGTGATGATTGCATTCGACTCACAGAGTTGAACATTCCTATAGATAGAGCAGGTTGTAAACAATCTTTTTGTAGAATCTGCGATTGGAGATTTGGACTGCTTTGAGGCCTACTGTAGTAAAGGAAATAACTTCATCTAAAAATCAAACGGAAGCATTCACAGACAATTCTTAGTGATCATTGCATTGAACTAACAGAGCTGAACATTCCTTTAGATGGAGCAGTTTCCAAACACACTTTCTGTAGAATCTGCAAGTGGATATTTGGACTTCTCTGAGGATTTCGTTGGAAACGGGATAAACTTCCCAGAACTACACGGAAGCATTGTGAGAAACTTCTTTGTGATGTTTGCATTCAACTCACAGAGTTGAACCTTGCTTTCATAGTTCAGCTTTCAAACACTCTTTTTGTAGAATCTGCAAGTGGATATTTGGACCACTTTGTGGCCTTCCTTCGAAACGGGTATATCTTCACATCAAACCTAGACAGAAGCATTCTCCGAATGTTTCCGGTGATTACTGCATTCAACTCACAGAGGTGAACAATCCTGCTGTTGGAGCAGTTTTGAAACTCTCTTTCTTTGGATTCTGCAAGTGGATATGTGGACCTCTGTGAAGATTTCGTTGGAAACGGGTTCATCTTCACAGAAAAACTAAACAGGAGCATTCTCAGAAACTGCTTTGTGATGTTTGTGTTCCACTTCAAGAATTGAACTTTCCTCTTGACCGAGCAGCTCTGAAACCCTCTTATTCTAGAATCTGCAAGTGGACATTTGGAGGGCTTTGAGGCCTGTGGTGGAAAAGGAAAATCTTCACATAAAAACTAGATGGAAGCATTCTCAGAAACTACTTTGTGATGATTGCATTCGACTCACAGAGTTGAACATTCCTATAGATAGAGCAGGTTGTAAACAATCTTTTTGTAGAATCTGCGATTGGAGATTTGGACTGCTTTGAGGCCTACTGTAGTAAAGGAAATAACTTCATCTAAAAACCAAACGGAAGCATTCACAGACAATTCTTAGTGATCATTGGATTGAACTAACAGAGCTGAACATTCCCTTTGATGGCGCAGTTTCCAAACACACTTTCTGTAGAATCTGCAAGTGGATATTTGGACTTCTCTGAGGATTTCGTTGGAAACGGGATAAACTTCCCAGAACTACACGGAAGCATTCTGAGAAACTTCTTTGGATGTTTGCATTCAACTCACAGAGTTGAACCTTGCTTTCATAGTTCAGCTTTCAAACACTCTTTTTGTAGAATCTGCAAGTGGATACTTGGACCACTTTGTGGCCTTCCTTCGAAACGGGTATATCTTCACATCAAACCTAGACAGAAGCATTCTCAGAATGTTTCCTGTGATGACTGCATTCAACTCACAGAGGTGAACAATCCTGCTGATGGAGCAGTTTTGAAACTCTCTTTCTTTGGATTCTGCAAGTGGATATGTGGACCTCTGTGAAGATTTCGTTGGAAACGGGTTCATCTTCACAGAAAAACTAAACAGGAGCATTCTCAGAAACTGCTTTGTGATGTTTGTGTTCCTCTTCAAGAATTCAACTTTCCTCTTGACAGAGCAGCTCTGAAACCCTCTTTTTCTAGAATCTGCAAGTGGACATTTGGAGGGCTTTGAGGCCTGTGGTGGAAAAGGAAAATCTTCACATAAAAACTAGATGGAAGCATTCTCAGAAACTACTTTGTGATGATTGCATTCGACTCACAGAGTTGAACATTCCTATAGATAGAGCAGGTTGTACACAATCTTTTTGTAGAATCTGCGATTGGAGATTTGGACTGCTTTGAGGCCTACTGTAGTAAAGGAAATAACTTCATCTAAAAACCAAACGGAAGCATTCACAGACAATTCTTAGTGATCATTGGATTGAACTAACAGAGCTGAACATTCCTTTAGATGGCGCAGTTTCCAAACACACTTTCTGTAGAATCTGCCACTGGATATTTGGACCTCTCTGAGGATTTCGTTGGAAACGGGCTAAACTTCCCAGAACTACACGGAAGTATTCTGAGAAACTTCTTTGTGATGTTTGCATTCAACTCACAGAGTTGAACCTTGCTTTCATAGTTCAGCTTTCAAACACTCTTTTTGTAGAATCTGCAAGTGGATATTTGGACCACTTTGTGGCCTTCCTTCGAAACGGGTATATCTTCACATCAAACCTAGACAGAAGCATTCTCAGAATGTTTCCTGTGATGACTGCATTCAACTCACAGAGGTGAACAATCCTGCTGATGGAGCAGTTTTGAAACTCTCTTTCTTTGGATTCTGCAAGTGGATATGTGGACCTCTGGGAAGATTTCGTTGGAAACGGGTTCATCTTCACAGAAAAACTAAACAGAAGCATTCTCAGAAACTGCTTTGTGATGTTTGTGTTCCACTTCAAGAATTGAACTTTCCTCTTGACAGAGCAGCTCTGAAACCCTCTTTTTCTAGAATCTGCAAGTGGACATTTGGAGGGCTTTGAGGCCTGTGGTGGAAAAGGAAAATCTTCACATAAAAACTAGATGGAAGCATTCTCAGAAACTACTTTGTGATGATTGCATTCGACTCACAGAGTTGAACATTCCTATAGATAGAGCAGGTTGTAAACAATCTTTTTGTAGAATCTGCGATTGGAGATTTGGACTGCTTTGAGGCCTACTGTAGTAAAGGAAATAACTTCATCTAAAAACCAAACGGAAGCATTCACAGACAATTCTTAGTGATCATTGCATTGAACTAACAGAGCTGAACATTCCTTTAGATGGCGCAGTTTCCAAACACACTTTCTGTAGAATCTGCAAGTGGATATTTGGACCTCTCTGAGGATTTCGTTGGAAACGGGATAAACTTCCCAGAACTACACGGAAGCATTCTGAGAAACTTCTTTGTGATGTTTGCATTCAACTCACAGAGTTGAACCTTGCTTTCATAGTTCAGCTTTCAAACACTCTTTTTGTAGAATCTGCAAGTGGATATTTGGACCACTTTGTGGCCTTCCTTCGAAACGGGTATATCTTCACATCAAACCTAGACAGAAGCATTCTCAGAATGTTTCCTGTGATGACTGCATTCAACTCACAGAGGTGAACAATCCTGCTGATGGAGCAGTTTTGAAACTCCCTTTCTTTGGATTCTGCAAGTGGATATGTGGACCTCTGTGAAGATTTCGTTAGAAACGGGTTCATCTTCACAGAAAAACTAAACAGGAGCATTCTCAGAAACTGCTTTGTGATGTTTGTGTTCCACTTGAAGAATTGAACTTTCCTCTTGACAGAGCAGCTCTGAAACCCTCTTTTTCTAGAGTCTGCAAGTGGACATTTGGAGGGCTTTGAGGCCTGTGGTGGAAAAGGAAAATCTTCACATAAAAACTAGATGGAAGCATTCTCAGAAACTACTTTGTGATGATTGCATTCGACTCACAGAGTTGAACATTCCTATAGATAGAGCAGGTTGTAAACAATCTTTTTGTAGAATCTGCGATTGGAGATTTGGACTGCTTTGAGGCCTACTGTAGTAAAGGAAATAACTTCATCTAAAAACCAAACGGAAGCATTCACAGACAATTCTTAGTGATCATTGGATTGAACTAACAGAGCTGAACATTCCTTTAGATGGAGCAGTTTCCAAACACACTTTCTGTAGAATCTGCAAGTGGATATTTGGACCTCTCTGAGGATTTCGTTGGAAAAGGGATAAACTTCCCAGAACTGCATGGAAGCATTCTGAGAAACTTCTTTGTGATGTTTGCATTCAACTCACAGAGTTGAACCTTGCTTTCATGGTTCAGCTTTCAAACACTCTTTTTGTAGAATCTGCAAGTGGATATTTGGACCACTTTGTGGCCTTCCTTCGAAACGGGTATATCTTCACATCAAACCTTGACAGAAGCATTCTCTGAATGTTTCCTGTGATGACTGCATTCAACTCACAGAGGTGAACAATCCTGCTGATGGAGCAGTTTTGAAACTCTCTTTCTTTGGATTCTGCAAGTGGATATGTGGACCTCTGTGAAGATTTCGTTGGAAACGGGTTCATCTTCACAGAAAAACTAAACAGGAGCATTCTCAGAAACTGCTTTGTGATGTTTGTGTTCCACTTCAGGAATTGAACTTTCCTCCTGACAGAGCAGCTCTGAAACCCTCTTTTTCTAGAATCTGCATGTGGACATTTGGAGGGCTTTGAGGCCTGTGGTGGAAAAGGAAAATCTTCACATAAAAACTAGATGGAAGCATTCTCAGAAACTACTTTGTGATGATTGCATTCGACTCACAGAGTTGAACATTCCTATACATAGAGCAGGTTGTAAACAATCTTTTTGTAGAATCTGCGATTGGAGATTTGGACTGCTTTGAGGCCTACTGTAGTAAAGGAAATAACTTCATCTAAAAACCAAACGGAAGCATTCACAGACAATTCTTAGTGATCATTGCATTGAACTAACAGAGCTGAACATTCCTTTAGATGGCGCAGTTTCCAAACACACTTTCTGTAGAATCTGCAAGTGGATATTTGGACTTCTCTGAGGATTTCGTTGGAAACGGGATAAACTTCCCAGAACTACACGGAAGCATTGTGAGAAACTTCTTTGTGATGTTTGCATTCAACTCACAGAGTTGAACCTTGCTTTCATAGTTCAGCTTTCAAACACTCTTTTTGTAGAATCTGCAAGTGGATATTTGGACCACTTTGTGGCCTTCCTTCGAAACGGGTATATCTTCACATCAAACCTAGACAGAAGCATTCTCAGAATGTTTCCTGTGATGACTGCATTCAACTCACAGAGGTGAACAATCCTGTTGATGGAGCAGTTTTGAAACTCTCTTTCTTTGGATTCTGCAAGTGGATATGTGGACCTCTGTGAAGATTTCGTTGGAAACGGGTTCATCTTCACAGAAAAACTAAACAGAAGCATTCTCAGAAACTGCTTTGTGATGTTTGTGTTCCACTTCAGGAATTGAACTTTCCTCTTGACAGAGCAGCTCTGAAACCCTCTTATTCTAGAATCTGCAAGTGGACATTTGGAGGGCTTTGAGGCCTGTGGTGGAAAAGGAAAATCTTCACATAAAAACTAGATGGAAGCATTCTCAGAAACTACTTTGTGATGATTGCATTCGACTCACAGAGTTGAACATTCCTATAGATAGAGCAGGTTGTAAACAATCTTTTTGTAGAATCTGCGATTGGAGATTTGGACTGCTTTGAGGCCTACTGTAGTAAAGGAAATAACTTCATCTAAAAACCAAACGGAAGCATTCACAGACAATTCTTAGTGATCATTGGATTGAACTAACAGAGCTGAACATTCCTTTAGATGGCGCAGTTTCCAAACCCACTGTCTGTAGAATCTGCAAGTGGATATTTGGACTTCTCTGAGGATTTCGTTGGAAACGGGATAAACTTCCCAGAACTACACGGAAGCATTGTGAGAAACTTCTTTGTGATGTTTGCATTCAACTCACAGAGTTGAACCTTGTTTTCATAGTTCAGCTTTCAAACACTCTTTTTGTAGAATCTGCAAGTGGATATTTGGACCACTTTGTGGCCTTCCTTCGAAACGGGTGTATCTTCACATCAAACCTAGACAGAAGCATTCTCAGAATGTTTCCTGTGATGACTGCATTCAACTCACAGAGGTGAACAATCCTGTTGATGGAGCACTTTTGAAACTCTCTTTCTTTGGATTCTGCAAGTTGATATGTGGACCTCTTTGAAGATTTCGTTGGAAACGGGTTCATCTTCACAGAAAAAGTAAACAGAAGCATTCTCAGAAACTACTTTGTGATGTTTGTGTTCCACTTCAAGAATTGAACTTTCCTCTTGACAGAGCAGCTCTGAAACCCTCTTTTTCTAGAATCTGCAAGTGGACATTTGGAGGGCTTTGAGGCCTGTGGTGGAAAAGGAAAATCTTCACATAAAAACTAGATGGAAGCATTCTCAGAAACTACTTTGTGATGATTGCATTCGACTCACAGAGTTGAACATTCCTATAGATAGAGCAGGTTGTAAACAATCTTTTTGTAGAATCTGCGATTGGAGATTTGGACTGCTTTGAGGCCTACTGTAGTAAAGGAAATAACTTCATCTAAAAACCAAACGGAAGCATTCACAGACAATTCTTAGTGATCATTGGATTGAACTAACAGAGCTGAACATTCCTTTAGATGGAGCAGTTTCCAAACACACTTTCTGTAGAATCTGCAAGTGGATATTTGGACTTCTCTGAGGATTTCGTTGGAAACGGGATAAACTTCCCAGAACTACACGGAAGCATTGTGAGAAACTTCTTTGTGATGTTTGCATTCAACTCACAGAGTTGAACCTTGCTTTCATAGTTCAGCTTTCAAACACTCTTTTTGTAGAATCTGCAAGTGGATATTTGGACCACTTTGTGGCCTTCCTTCGAAACGGGTATATCTTCACATCAAACCTAGACAGAAGCATTCTCCAGAATGTTTCCTGTGATGACTGCATTCAACTCACAGAGGTGAACAATCCTGTTGATGGAGCAGTTTTGAAACTCCCTTTCTTTGGATTCTGCAAGTGGATATGTGGACCTCTGTGAAGATTTCGTTGGAAACGGGTTCATCTTCACAGAAAAACTAAACAGAAGCATTCTCAGAAACTACTTTGTGATGTTTGTGTTCCACTTCAAGAATTGAACTTTCCTCTTGACAGAGCAGCTCTGAAACCCTCTTATTCTAGAATCTGCAAGTGGACATTTGGAGGGCTTTGAGGCCTGTGGTGGAAAAGGAAAATCTTCACATACAAACTAGATGGAAGCATTCTCAGAAACTACTTTGTGATGATTGCATTCGACTCACAGAGTTGAACATTCCTATAGATAGAGCAGGTTGTAAACAATCTTTTTGTAGAATCTGCGATTGGAGATTTGGACTGCTTTGAGGCCTACTGTAGTAAAGGAAATAACTTCATCTAAAAACCAAACGGAAGCATTCACAGACAATTCTTAGTGATCATTGCATTGAACTAACAGAGCTGAACATTGCTTTAGATGGCGCAGTTTCCAAACACACTTTCTGTAGAATCTGCAAGTGGATATTTGGACCTCTCTGAGGATTTCGTTGGAAACGGGATAAACTTCCCAGAACTACACGGAAGCATTCTGAGAAACTTCTTTGTGATGTTTGCATTCAACTCACAGAGTTGAACCTTGCTTTCATAGTTCAGCTTTCAAACACTCTTTTTGTAGAATCTGCAAGTGGATATTTGGACCACTTTGTGGCCTTCCTTCGAAACGGGTATATCTTCACATCAAACCTAGACAGAAGCATTCTCAGAATGTTTCCTGTGATGACTGCATTCAACTCACAGAGGTGAACAATCCTGCTGATGGAGCAGTTTTGAAACTCCCTTTCTTTGGATTCTGCAAGTGGATATGTGGACCTCTGTGAAGATTTCGTTGGAAACGGGTTCATCTTCACAGAAAAACTAAACAGGAGCATTCTCAGAAACTGCTTTGTGATGTTTGTGTTCCACTTCAAGAATAGAACTTTTCTCTTGACAGAGCAGCTCTGAAACCCTCTTTTTCTAGAATCTGCAAGTGGACATTTGGAGGGCTTTGAGGACTGTGGTGGAAAACGAAAATCTTCACATAAAAACTAGATGGAAGCATTTTCAGAAACTCCTTTGTGATGATTGCATTCGACTCACAGAGTTGAACATTCCTATAGATAGAGCAGGTTGTAAACAATCTTTTTGTAGAATCTGCGATTGGAGATTTGGACTGCTTTGAGGCCTACTGTAGTAAAGGAAATAACTTCATCTAAAAACCAAACGGAAGCATTCACAGACAATTCTTAGTGATCATTGCATTGAACTAACAGAGCTGAACATTCCTTTAGATGGAGCATTTTCCAAACACACTTTCTGTAGAATCTGCAAGTGGATATTTGGACTTCTCTGAGGATTTCGTTGGAAACGGGATAAACTTCCCAGAACTACACGGAAGCATTGTGAGAAACTTCTTTGTGATGTTTGCATTCAACTCACAGAGTTGAACCTTGCTTTCATAGTTCAGCTTTCAAACACTCTTTTTGTAGAATCTGCAAGTGGATATTTGGACCACTTTGTGGCCTTCCTTCGAAACGGGTATATCTTCACATCAAACCTAGACAGAAGCATTCTCAGAATGTTTCCTGTGATGACTGCATTCAACTCACAGAGGTGAACAATCCTGTTGATGGAGCACTTTTGAAACTCTCTTTCTTTGGATTCTGCAAGTTGATATGTGGACCTCTGTGAAGATTTCGTTGGAAACGGGTTCATCTTCACAGAAAAACTAAACAGAAGCATTCTCAGAAACTACTTTGTGATGTTTGTGTTCCACTTCAAGAATTGAACTTTCCTCTTTACAGAGCAGCTCTGAAACCCTCTTTTTCTAGAATCTGCAAGTGGACATTTGGAGGGCTTTGAGGCCTGTGGTGGAAAAGGAAAATCTTCACATAAAAACTAGATGGAAGCATTCTCAGAAACTACTTTGTGATGATTGCATTCGACTCACAGAGTTGAACATTCCTATAGATAGAGCAGGTTGTAAACAATCTTTTTGTAGAATCTGCGATTGGAGATTTGGACTGCTTTGAGGCCTACTGTAGTAAAGGAAATAACTTCATCTAAAAACCAAACGGAAGCATTCACAGACAATTCTTAGTGATCATTGGATTGAACTAACAGAGCTGAACATTCCTTTAGTTGGAGCAGTTTCCAAACCCACTTTCTGTAGAATCTGCAAGTGGATATTTGGACTTCTCTGAGGATTTCGTTGGAAACGGGATAAACTTCCCAGAACTACACGGAAGCATTCTGAGAAACTTCTTTCTGATGTTTGCATTCAACTCACAGAGTTGAAACTTGCTTCCATAGTACAGCTTTCAAACACTCTTTTTGTAGAATCTGCAAGTGGATATTTGGACCACTTTGTGGCCTTCCTTCGAAACGGGTATATCTTCACATCAAACCTAGACAGAAGCATTCTCAGAATGTTTCCTGTGATGACTGCATTCAACTCACAGAGGTGAAAAATCCTGCTGATGGAGCAGTTTTGAAACTCTCTTTCTTTGGATTCTGCAAGTGGATATGTGGACCTCTGTGAAGATTTCGTTGGAAACGGGTTCATCTTCACAGAAAAAATAAACAGGAGCATTCTCAGAAACTGCTTTGTGATGTTTGTGTTCCACTTCAAGAATTGAACTTTCCTCTTGACAGAGCAGCTCTGAAACCCTCTTTTTCTAGAATCTGCTAGTGGACATTTGGAGGGCTTTGAGGCCTGTGGTGGAAAAGGAAAATCTTCACATAAGAACTAGATGGAAGCATTCTCAGAAACTACTTTGTGATGATTGCATTCGACTCACAGAGTTGAACATTCCTATAGATAGAGCAGGTTGTAAACAATCTTTTTGTAGAATCTGCGATTGGAGATTTGGACTGCTTTGAGGCCTACTGTAGTAAAGGAAATAACTTCATCTAAAAACCAAACGGAAGCATTCACAGACAATTCTTAGTGATCATTGGATTGAACTAACAGAGCTGAACATTCCTTTAGTTGGAGCAGTTTCCAAACCCACTTTCTGTAGAATCTGCAAGTGGATATTTGGACTTCTCTGAGGATTTCGTTGGAAACGGGATAAACTTCCCAGAACTACACGGAAGCATTCTGAGAAACTTCTTTCTGATGTTTGCATTCAACTCACAGAGTTGAACCTTGCTTTCATAGTTCAGCTTTCAAACACTCTTTTTGTAGAATCTGCAAGTGGATATTTGGACCACTTTGTGGCCTTCCTTCGAAACGGGTATATCTTCACATCAAACCTAGACAGAAGCATTCTCAGAATGTTTCCTGTGATGACTGCATTCAACTCACAGAGGTGAACAATCCTGCTGATGGAGCAGTTTTGAAACTCTCTTTCTTTGGATTCTGCAAGTGGATATGTGGACCTCTGTGAAGATTTCGTTGGAAACGGGTTCATCTTCACAGAAAAACTAAACAGAAGCATTCTCAGAAACTGCTTTGTGATGTTTGTGTTCCACTTCAAGAATTGAACTTTCCTCTTGACGGAGCAGCTCTGAAACCCTCTTTTTCTAGAATCTGCAAGTGGACATTTGGAGGGCTTTGAGGCCTGTGGTGGAAAAGGAAACTCTTCACATAAAAACTAGATGGAAGCATACTCAGAAACTACTTTGTGATGATTGCATTCGACTCACAGAGTTGAACATTCCTATAGATAGAGCCGGTTGTAAACAATCTTTTTGTAGAATCTGCGATTGGAGATTTGGACTGCTTTGAGGCCTACTGTAGTAAAGGAAATAACTTCATCTAAAAACCAAACGGAAGCATTCACAGACAATTCTTAGTGATCATTGGATTGAACTAACAGAGCTGAACATTCCTTTAGATGGCGCAGTTTCCAAACACACTTTCTGTAGAATCTGCCACTGGATATTTGGACCTCTCTGAGGATTTCGTTGGAAACGGGCTAAACTTCCCAGAACTACACGGAAGCATTCTGAGAAACTTCTTTGTGATGTTTGCATTCAACTCACAGAGTGGAAACTTGCTTTCATAGTTCAGCTTTCAAACACTCTTTTTGTAGAATCTGCAAGTGGATATTTGGACCACTTTGTGGCCTTCCTTCGAAACGGGTATATCTTCACATCAAACCTAGACAGAAGCATTCTCAGAATGTTTTCTGTGATGACTGCATTCAACTCACAGAGGTGAACAATCCTGCTGATGGACCAGTTTTGAAACTCTCTTTCTTTGTATTCTGCAAGTGGATATGTGGACCTCTGTGAACATTTCGTTGGAAACGGGTTCATCTTCACAGAAAAACTAAGCAGGAGCATTCTCAGAAACTGCTTTGTGATGTTTGTGTTCCACTTCAGGAATTGAACTTTCCTCTTGACAGAGCAGCTCTGAAACCGTCTTTTTCTAGAATCTGCAAGTGGACATTTGGAGGGCTTTGAGGCCTGTGGTGGAAAAGGAAAATCTTCACATAAAAACTAGATGGATGCATTCTCAGAAACTACTTTGTGATGATTGCATTCGACTCACAGAGTTGAACATTCCTATAGATAGAGCAGGTTGTAAACAATCTTTTTGTAGAATCTGCGATTGGAGATTTGGACTGCTTTGAGGCCTACTGTAGTAAAGGAAATAACTTCATCTAAAAACCAAACGGAAGCATTCACAGACAATTCTTAGTGATCATTGGATTGAACTAACAGAGGTGAACATTCCTTTAGATGGAGCAGTTTCCAAACACACTTTCTGTAGAATCTGCAAGTGGATATTTGGACTTCTCTGAGGATTTCGTTGGAAACGGGATAAACTTCCCAGAACTACACGGAAGCATTCTGAGAAACTTCTTTGTGATGTTTGCATTCAACTCACAGAGTTGAACCTTGCTTTCATAGTTCAGCTTTCAAACACTCTTTTTGTAGAATCTGCAAGTGGATATTTGGACCACTTTGTGGCCTTCCTTCGAAACGGGTATATCTTCACATCAAACCTAGACAGGAAGCATTCTCAGAATGTTTCCTGTGATGACTGCATTCAACTCACAGAGGTGAACAATCCTGTTGATGGAGCACTTTTGAAACTCTCTTTCTTTGGATTCTGCAAGTTGATATGTGGACCTCTGTGAAGATTTCGTTGGAAATGGGTTCATCTTCACAGAAAAACTAAACAGAAGCATTCTCAGAAACTACTTTGTGATGTTTGTGTTCCACTTCAAGAATTGAACTTTCCTCTTGACAGAGCAGCTCTGAAACCCTCTTTTTCTAGAATCTGCAAGTGGACATTTGGAGGGCTTTGAGGCCTGTGGTGGAAAAGGAAAATCTTCACATAAAAACTAGATGGAAGCATTCTCAGAAACTACTTTGTGATGATTGCATTCGACTCACAGAGTTGAACATTCCTATACATAGAGCAGGTTGTAAACAATCTTTTTGTAGAATCTGCGATTGGAGATTTGGACTGCTTTGAGGCCTACTGTAGTAAAGGAAATAACTTCATCTAAAAACCAAACGGAAGCATTCACAGACAATTCTTAGTGATCATTGCATTGAACTAACAGAGCTGAACATTCCTTTAGATGGAGCAGTTTCCAAACACACTTTCTGTAGAATCTGCAAGTGGATATTTGGACTTCTCTGAGGATTTCTTTGGAAACGGGATAAACTTCCCAGAACTACACGGAAGCATTGTGAGAAACTTCTCTGTGATGTTTGCATTCAACTCACAGAGTTGAACCTTGCTTTCATAGTTCAGCTTTCAAACACTCTTTTTGTGGAATCTGCAAGTGGATATTTGGACCACTTTGTGGCCTTCCTTCGAAACGGGTATATTTTCACATCAAACCTAGACAGAAGCATTCTCAGAATGTTTCCTGTGATGACTGCATTCAACTCACAGAGGTGAACAATCCTGCTGATGGAGCAGTTTTGAAACTCTCTTTCTTTGGATTCTGCAAGTGGATATGTGGACCTCTGTGAAGATTTCGTTGGAAACGTGTTCATCTTCACAGAAAAACTAAACAGGAGCATTCTCAGAAACTGCTTTGTGATGTTTGTGTTCCACTTCAAGAATTGAACTTTCCTCTTGACAGAGCAGCTCTGAAACCCTCTTTTTCTAGAATCTGCAAGTGGACATTTGGAGGGCTTTGAGGCCTGTGGTGGAAAAGGAAAATCTTCCCATAAAAACTAGATGGAAGCATTCTCAGAAACTACTTTGTGATGATTGCATTCGACTCACAGAGTTGAACATTCCTATAGATAGAGCAGGTTGTAAACAATCTTTTTGTAGAATCTGCGATTGGAGATTTGGACTGCTTTGAGGCCTACTGTAGTAAAGGAAATAACTTCATCTAAAAACCAAACGGAAGCATTCACAGACAATTCTTAGTGATCATTGGATTGAACTAACAGAGCTGAACATTCCTTTAGATGGAGCAGTTTCCAAACCCACTTTCTGTAGAATCTGCAAGTGGATATTTGGACTTCTCTGAGGATTTCGTTGGAAACGGGATAAACTTCCCAGAACTACACAGAAGCATTCTGAGAAACTTCTTTGTGATGTTTGCATTCAACTCACAGAGTTGAACCTTGCTTTCATAGTTCAGCTTTCAAACACTCTTTTTGTAGAATCTGCAAGTGGATATTTGGACCACTTTGTGGCCTTCCTTCGAAACGGGTATATCTTCACATCAAACCTAGACAGAAGCATTCTCAGAATGTTTCCTGTGATGACTGCATTCAACTCACAGAGGTGAACAATCCTGTTGATGGAGCAGTTTTGAAACTCTCTTTCTTTGGATTCTGCAAGTGGATATGTGGACCTCTGTGAAGATTTCGTTGGAAACGGGTTCATCTTCACAGAAAAACTAAACAGGAGCATTCTCAGAAACTGCTTTGTGATGTTTGTGTTCCACTTCAAGAATTGAGCTTTCCTCTTGACAGAGCAGCTCTGAAACCCTCTTTTTCTAGAATCTGCAAGTGGACATTTGGAGGGCTTTGAGGCCTGTGGTGGAAAAGGAAAATCTTCACATAAAAAGTAGATGGAAGCATTCTCAGAAACTACTTTGTGATGATTGCATTCGACTCACAGAGTTGAACATTCCTATAGATAGAGCAGGTTGTAAACAATCTTTTTGTAGTATCTGCGATTGGAGATTTGGACTGCTTTGAGGCCTACTGTAGTAAAGGAAATAACTTCATCTAAAAACCAAACGGAAGCATTCACAGACAATTCTTAGTGATCATTGGATTGAACTAACAGAGCTGAACATTCCTTTAGATGGAGGAGTTTCCAAACACACTTTCTGTAGAATCTGCAAGTGGATATTTGGACCTCTCTGAGGATTTCGTTGGAAACGGGATAAACTTCCTAGAACTACACGGAAGCATTGTGAGAAACTTCTTTGTGATGTTTGCATTCAACTCACAGAGTTCAACCTTGCTTTCATAGTTCAGCTTTCAAACACTCTTTTTGTAGAATCTGCAAGTGGATATTTGGACCACTTTGTGGCCTTCCTTCGAAACGGGTATATCTTCACATCAAACCTAGACAGAAGCATTCTCAGAATGTTTCCTGTGATGACTGCATTCAACTCACAGAGGTGAACAATCCTGCTGATGGAGCAGTTTTGAAACTCTCTTTCTTTGGATTCTGCAAGTGGATATGTGGACCGCTGTGTAGATTTTGTTGGAAACGGGTTCATCTTCACAGAAAAACTAAACAGAAGCATTCTCAGAAACTGCTTTGTGATGTTTGTTTTCCACTTCAAGAATTGAACTTTCCTCTTGACAGAGCAGCTCTGAAACCCTCTTTTTCTAGAATCTGCAAGTGGACATTTGGAGGGCTTTGAGGCCTGTGGTGGAAAAGGAAAATCTTCACATAAAAACTAGATGGAAGCATTCTCAGAAACTACTTTGTGATGATTGCATTCGACTCACAGAGTTGAACATTCCTATAGATAGAGCAGGTTGTAAACAATCTTTTTGTAGAATCTGCGATTGGAAATTTGGACTGCTTTGAGGCCTACTGTAGTAAAGGAAATAACTTCATCTAAAAACCAAACGGAAGCATTCACAGACAATTCTTAGTGATCATTGCATTGAACTAACAGAGCTGAACATTCCTTTAGATGGCGCAGTTTCCAAACACACTTTCTGTAGAATCTGCAAGTGGATATTTGGACCTCTCTGAGGATTTCGTTGGAAACGGGATAAACTTCCCAGAACTACACGGAAGCATTCTGAGAAACTTCTTTGTGATGTTTGCATTCAACTCACAGAGTTGAACCTTGCTTTCATAGTTCAGCTTTCAAACACTCTTTTTGTAGAATCTGCAAGTGGATATTTGGACCACTTTGTGGCCTTCCTTCGAAACGGGTATATCTTCACATCAAACCTAGACAGAAGCATTCTCAGAATGTTTCCTGTGATGACTGCATTCAACTCACAGAGGTGAACAATCCTGTTGATGGAGCAGTTTTGAAACTCTCTTTCTTTGGATTCTGCAAGTGGATATGTGGACCTCTGTGAAGATTTCGTTGGAAAAGGGTTCATCTTCACAGAAAATCTAAACAGGAGCATTCTCAGAAACTGCTTTGTGATGTTTGTGTTCCACTTCAAGAATTGAACTTTCCTCTTGACAGAGCAGCTCTGAAACCCTCTTTTTCTAGAATCTGCAAGTGGACATTTGGAGGGCTTTGAGGCCTGTGGTGGAAAAGGAAAATCTTCACATAAAAACTAGATGGAATCATTCTCAGAAACTACTTTGTGATGATTGCATTCGACTCACAGAGTTGAACATTCCTATAGATAGAGCAGGTTGTAAACAATCTTTTTGTAGAATCTGCGATTGGAGATTTGGACTGCTTTGAGGCCTACTGTAGAAAAGGAAATAACTTCATCTAAAAACCAAACGGAAGCATTCACAGACAATTCTTAGTGATCATTGCATTGAACTAACAGAGCTGAACATTCCTTTAGATGGCGCAGTTTCCAAACACACTTTCTGTAGAATCTGCAAGTGGATATTTGGACCTCTCTGAGGATTTCGTTGGAAACGGGATAAACTTCCCAGAACTACACGGAAGCATTCTGAGAAACTTCTTTGTGATGTTTGCATTCAACTCACAGAGTTGAACCTTGCTTTCATAGTTCAGCTTTCAAACCCTCTTTTTGTAGAATCTGCAAGTGGATATTTGGACCACTTTGTGGCCTTCCTTCGAAACGGGTATATCTTCACATCAAACCTAGACAGAAGCATTCTCAGAATGTTTCCTGTGATGACTGCATTCAACTCACAGAGGTGAACAATCCTGCTGATGGAGCAGTTTTGAAACTCTCTTTCTTTGGATTCTGCAAGTGGATATGTGGACCTCTGTGAAGATTTCGTTGGAAACGGGTTCATCTTCACAGAAAAACTAAACAGAAGCATTCTCAGAAACTGCTTTGTGATGTTTGTGTTCCACTTCAGGAATTGAACTTTCCTCTTGACAGAGCAGCTCTGAAACCCTCTTATTCTAGAATCTGCAAGTGGATATTTGGAGGGCTTTGAGGCCTGTGGTGGAAAAGGAAAATCTTCACATAAAAACTAGATGGAAGCATTCTCAGAAACTACTTTGTGATGATTGCATTCGACTCACAGAGTTGAACATTCCTATAGATATAGCAGGTTGTAAACAATCTTTTTGTAGAATCTGCGATTGGAGATTTGGACTGCTTTGAGGCCTACTGTAGTAAAGGAAATAACTTCATCTAAAAACCAAACGGAAGCATTCACAGACAATTCTTAGTGATCATTGGATAGAACTAACAGAGCTGAACATTCCTTTAGACGGAGCAGTTTCCAAACACACTTTCTGTAGAATCTGCAAGTGGATATTTGGACCTCTCTGAGGATTTCGTTGAAAACGGGATAAACTTCCCAGAACTACACGGAAGCATTCTGAGAAAATTCTTTGTGATGTTTGCATTCAACTCACAGAGTTGAACCTTGCTTTCATAGTTCAGCTTTCAAACACTCTTTTTGTAGAATCTGCAAGTGGATATTTGGACCACTTTGTGGCCTTCCTTCGAAACGGGTATATCTTCACATCAAACCTAGACAGAAGCATTCTCAGAATGTTTCCTGTGATGACTGCATTCAACTCACAGAGGTGAACAATCCTGCTGATGGAGCAGTTTTGAAATTCTCTTTCTTTGGATTCTGCAAGTGGATATGTGGACCTCTGTGAAGATTTCGTTGGAAACGGGTTCATCTTCACAGAAAAACTAAACAGAAGCATTCTCAGAAACTGCTTTGTGATGTTTTCGTTCCACTTCAGGAATTGAACTTTCCTCTTGACAGAGCAGCTCTGAAAACCTCTTATTCTAGAATCTGCAAGTGGACATTTGGAGGGCTTTGAGGCCTGTGGTGGAAAAGGAAAATCTTCACATAAAAACTAGATGGAAGCATTCTCAGAAACTACTTTGTGATGATTGCATTCGACTCACAGAGTTGAACATTCCTATAGACAGAGCAGGTTGTAAACAATCTTTTTGTAGAATCTGCGATTGGAGATTTGGACTGCTTTGAGGCCTACTGTAGTAAAGAAAATAACTTCATCTAAAAACCAAACGGAAGCATTCACAGACAATTCTTAGTGATCATTGGATTGAACTAACAGAGCTGAACATTCCTTTAGATGGAGCAGTTTCCAAACCCACTTTCTGTAGAATCTGCACGTGGATATTTGGACCTCTCTGAGGATTTCGTTGGAAACGGGATAAACTTCCCAGAACTACACGGAAGCATTGTGAGAAACTTCTTTGTGATGTTTGCATTCAACTCACAGAGTTGAACCTTGCTTTCATAGTTCAGCTTTCAAACACTCTTTTTGTAGAATCTGCAAGTGGATATTTGGACCACTTTGTGGCCTTCCTTCGAAACGGGTATATCTTCACATCAAACCTAGACAGAAGCATTCTCAGAATGTTTCCTGTGATGACTGCATTCAACTCACAGAGGTGAACAATCCTGCTGATGGAGCAGTTTTGAAACTCTCTTTCTTTGGATTCTGCAAGTGGATATGTGGACCTCTGTGAAGATTTCGTTGGAAACGGGTTCATCTTCACAGAAAAACTAAACAGAAGCATTCTCAGAAACTGCTTTGTGATGTTTGTGTTCCACTTCAGGAATTGAACTTTCCTCTTGAAAGAGCAGCTCTGAAACCCTCTTTTTCTAGAATCTGCAAGTGGACATTTGGAGGGCTTTGAGGCCTGTGGTGGAAAAGGAAAATCTTCACATAAAAACTAGATGGAAGCATTCTCAGAAACTACTTTGTGATGATTGCATTCGACTCACAGAGTTGAACATTCCTATAGATAGAGCAGGTTGTAAACAATCTTTTTGTAGAATCTGCAATTGGAGATTTGGACTGCTTTGAGGCCTACTGTAGTAAATGAAATAACTTCATCTAAAAACCAAACGGAAGCATTCACAGACAATTCTTAGTGATCATTGGATTGAACTAACAGAGCTGAACATTCCTTTAGATGGAGCAGTTTCCAAACCCACCTTCTGTAGGATCTGCAAGTGGATATTTGGACTTCTCTGAGGATTTCGTTGGAAACGGGATAAACTTCCCAGAACTACACGGAAGCATTCTGAGAAACTTCTTTGTGATGTTTGCATTCAACTCACAGAGTTGAACCTTGCTTTCATAGTTCAGCTTTCAAACACTCTTTTTGTAGAATCTGCAAGTGGATATTTGGACCACTTTCTGGCCTTCCTTCGAAACGGGTATATCTTCACATCAAACCTAGACAGAAGCATTCTCAGAATGTTTCCTGTGATGACTGCATTCAACTCACAGAGGTGAACAATCCTGCTGATGGAGCAGTTTTGAAACTCTCTTTCTTTGGATTCTGCAAGTGGATATGTGGACCTCTGTGAAGATTTCGTTGGAAACGGGTTCATCTTCACAGAAAAACTAAACAGGAGCATTCTCAGAAACTGCTTTGTGATGTTTGTGTTCCACTTCAAGAATTGAACTTTCCTCTTGACAGAGCAGCTCTGAAACCCTCTTTTTCTAGAATCTTCAAGTGGACATTTGGAGGGCTTTGAGGCCTGTGGTGGAAAAGGAAAATCTTCACATAAAAACTAGATGGAAGCATTCTCAGAAACTACTTTGTGATGATTGCATTCGACTCACAGAGTTGAACATTCCTATAGATAGAGCAGGTTGTAAACAATCTTTTTGTAGAATCTGCGATTGGAGATTTGGACTGCTTTGAGGCCTACTGTAGTAAAGGAAATAACTTCATCTAAAAACCAAACGGAAGCATTCACAGACAATTCTTAGTGATCATTGCATTGAACTAACAGAGCTGAACATTCCTTTAGATGGCGCAGTTTCCAAACACACTTTCTGTAGAATCTGCAAGTGGATATTTGGACCTCTCTGAGGATTTCGTTGGAAACGGGATAAACTTCCCAGAACTACACGGAAGCATTCTGAGAAACTTCTTTGTGATGTTTGCATTCAACTCACAGAGTTGAACCTTGCTTTCATAGTTCAGCTTTCAAACACTCTTTTTGTAGAATCTGCAAGTGGATATTTGGACCACTTTGTGGCCTTCCTTCGAAACGGGTATATCTTCACATCAAACCTAGACAGAAGCATTCTCAGAATGTTTCCTGTGATGACTGCATTCAACTCACAGAGGTGAACAATCCTGCTGATGGAGCAGTTTTGAAACTCTCTTTCTTTGGATTCTGCAAGTGGATATGTGGACCTCTGTGAAGATTTCGTTGGAAACGGGTTCATCTTCACAGAAAAACTAAACAGGAGCATTCTCAGAAACTGCTTTGTGATGTTTGTGTTCCACTTCAGGAATTGAACTTTCCTCTTGACAGAGCAGCTCTGAAACCCTCTTTTTCTAGAATCTGCAAGTGGACATTTGGAGGGCTTTGAGGCCTGTGGTGGAAAAGGAAAATCTTCACATAAAAACTAGATGGAAGCATTCTCAGAAACTACTTTGTGATGATTGCATTCGACTCACAGAGTTGAACATTCCTATAGATAGAGCAGGTTGTAAACAATCTTTTTGTAGAATCTGCGATTGGAGATTTGGACTGCTTTGAGGCCTACTGTAGTAAAGGAAATAACTTCATCTAAAAACCAAACGGAAGCATTCACAGACAATTCTTAGTGATCATGGCATTGAACTAACAGAGCTGAACATTCCTTTAGATGGCGCAGTTTCCAAACACACTTTCTGTAGAATCTGCAAGTGGATATTTGGACCTCTCTGAGGATTTCGTTGGAAACGGGATAAACTTCCCAGAACTACACGGAAGCATTGTGAGAAACTTCTTTTTGATGTTTGCATTCAACTCACAGAGTTGAACCTTGCTTTCATAGTTCAGCTTTCAAACACTCTTTTTGTAGAATCTGCAAGTGGATATTTGGACCACTTTGTGGCCTTCCTTCGAAACGGGTATATCTTCACATCAAACCTAGACAGAAGCATTCTCAGAATGTTTCCTGTGATGACTGCATTCAACTCACAGAGGTGAACAATCCTGCTGATGGAGCAGTTTTGAAACTCTCTTTCTTTGGATTCTGCAAGTGGATATGTGGACCTCTGTGAAGATTTCGTTGGAAACGGGTTCATCTTCACAGAAAAACTAAACAGAAGCATTCTCAGAAACTGCTTTGTGATGTTTGTGTTCCACTTCAGGAATTGAACTTTCCTCTTGATAGAGCAGCTCTGAAACCCTCTTATTCTAGAATCTGCAAGTGGACATTTGGAGGGCTTTGAGGCCTGTGGTGGAATAGGAAAATCTTCACATAAAAACTAGATGGAAGCATTCTCAGAAACTACTTTGTGATGATTGCATTCGACTCACAGAGTTGAACATTCCTATAGATAGAGCAGGTTGTAAACAATCTTTTTGTAGAATCTGCGATTGGAGATTTGTTCTGCTTTGAGGCCTACTGTAGTAAAGGAAATAACTTCATCTAAAAACCAAACGGAAGCATTCACAGACAATTCTTAGTGATCATTGGATTGAACTAACAGAGCTGAACATTCCTTTAGATGGAGCAGTTTCCAAACACACTTTCTGTAGAATCTGCAAGTGGATATTTGGACTTCTCTGAGGATGTCGTTGGAAACGGGATATACTTCCCAGAACTACACGGAAGCATTGTGAGAAACTTCTTTGTGATGTTTGCATTCAACTCACAGAGTTGAACCTTGCTTTCATAGTTCAGCTTTCAAACACTCTTTTTGTAGAATCTGCAAGTGGATATTTGGACCACTTTGTGGCCTTCCTTCGAAACGGGTATATCTTCACATCAAACCTAGACAGAAGCATTCTCAGAATGTTTCCTGTGATGACTGCATTCAACTCACAGAGGTGAACAATCCTGCTGATGGAGCAGTTTTGAAACTCTCCTTCTTTGGATTCTGGAAGTGGATATGTGGACCTCTGTGAAGATTTCGTTGGAAACGGGTTCATCTTCACAGAAAAATTAACAGAAGCATTCTCAGAAACTGCTTTGTGATGTTTGTGTTCCACTTCAGGAATTGAACTTTCCTCTTGAGAGAGCAGCTCTGAATCCCTCTTTTTCTAGAATCTGCAAGTGGACATTTGGAGGGCTTTGAGGCCTGTTGTGGAAAAGGAAACTCTTCACATAAAAACTAGATGGAAGCATTCTCAGAAACTACTTTGTGATGATTGCATTCGACTCACAGAGTTGAACATTCCTATAGATAGAGCAGGTTGTAAACAATCTTTTTGTAGAATCTGCGATTGGAGATTTGGACTGCTTTGAGGCCTACTGTAGTAAAGGAAATTACTTCATCTAAAAACCAAACGGAAGCATTCACAGACAATTCTTAGTGATCATTGGATTGAACTAACAGAGCTGAACATTCCTTTAGATGGAGCAGTTTCCAAACCCACTTTCTGTAGAATCTGCAAGTGGATATTTGGACTTCTCTGAGGATTTCGTTGGAAACGGGATAAACTTCCCAGAACTACAGGGAAGCATTCTGAGAAACTTCTTTGTGATGTTTGCATTCAACTCACAGAGTTGAACCTTGCTTTCATAGTTCAGCTTTCAAACACTCTTTTTGTAGAATCTGCAAGTGGATATTTGGACCACTTTGTGGCCTTCCTTCGAAACGGGTATATCTTCACATCAAACCTAGACAGGAAGCATTCTCAGAATGTTTCCTGTGATGACTGCATTCAACTCACAGAGGTGAACAATCCTGCTGATGGAGCAGTTTTGAAACTCTCTTTCTTTGGATTCTGCAAGTGGATATGTGGACCTCTGTGAAGATTTCGTTGGAAACGGGTTCATCTTCACAGAAAAACTAAACAGGAGCATTCTCAGAAACTGCTTTGTGATGTTTGTGTTCCACTTCAAGAATTGAACTTTCCTCTTGACAGAGCAGCTCTGAAACCCTCTTTTTCTAGAATCAGCAAGTGTACATTTGGAGGACTTTGAGGCCTGTGGTGGAAAAGGAAAATCTTCACATAAAAACTAGATGGAAGCATTCTCAGAAACTACTTTGTGATGATTGCATTCGACTCACAGAGTTGAACATTCCTATAGATAGAGCAGGTTGTAAACAATCTTTTTGTAGAATCTGCGATTGGAGATTTGGACTGCTTTGAGGCCTACTGTAGTAAAGGAAATAACTTCATCTAAAAACCAAACGGAAGCATTCACAGACAATTCTTAGTGATCATTGCATTGAACTAACAGAGCTGAACATTGCTTTAGATGGCGCAGTTTCCAAACACACTTTCTGTAGAATCTGCAAGTGGATATTTGGACCTCTCTGAGGATTTCGTTGGAAACGGGATAAATTTCCCAGAACTACACGGAAGCATGCTGAGAAACTTCTTTGTGATGTTTGCATTCAACTCACAGAGTTGAACCTTGCTTTCATAGTTCAGCTTTCAAACACTCTTTTTGTAGAATCTGCAAGTGGATATTTGGACCACTTTGTGGCCTTCCTTCGAAACGGGTATATCTTCACATCAAACCTAGACAGAAGCATTCTCAGAATGTTTCCTGTGATGACTGCATTCAACTCACAGAGGTGAACAATCCTGTTGATGGAGCACTTTTGAAACTCTCTTTCTTTGTATTCTGCAAGTTGATATGTGGACCTCTGTGAAGATTTCGTTGGAAACGGGTTCATCTTCACAGAAAAACTAAACAGAAGCATTCTCAGAAACTACTTTGTGATGTTTGTGTTCCACTTCAAGAATTGAACTTTCCTCTTGACAGAGCAGCTCTGAAACCCTCTTTTTCTAGAATCTGCAAGTGGACATTTGGAGGGCTTTGAGGCCTGTGGTGGAAAAGGAAAATCTTCACATAAAAACTAGATGGAAGCATTCTCAGAAACTAGTTTGTGATGATTGCATTCGACTCACAGAGTTGAACATTCCTATAGATAGAGCAGGTTGTAAACAATCTTTTTGTAGAATCTGCGATTGGAGATTTGGACTGCTTTGAGGCCTACTGTAGTAAAGGAAATAACTTCATCTAAAAACCAAACGGAAGCATTCACAGACAATTCTTAGTGATCATTGCATTGAACTAACAGAGCTGAACATTCCTTTAGATGGCGCAGTTTCCAAACACACTTTCTGTAGAATCTGCAAGTGGATATTTGGACCTCTCTGAGGATTTCGTTGGAAACGGGATAAACTTCCCAGAACTACACGGAAGCATTCTGAGAAACTTCTCTGTGATGTTTGCATTCAACTCACAGAGTTGAACCTTGCTTTCATAGTTCAGCTTTCAAACACTCTTTTTGTAGAATCTGCAAGTGGATATTTGGACCACTTTGTGGCCTTCCTTCGAAACGGGTATATCTTCACATCAAACGTAGACAGAAGCATTCTCAGAATGTTTCCTGTGATGACTGCATTCAACTCACAGAGGTGAACAATCCTGCTGATGGAGCAGTTTTGAAACTCCCTTTCTTTGGATTCTGCAAGTGGATATGTGGACCTCTGTGAAGATTTCGTTGGAAACGGGTTCATCTTCACAGAAAAACTAAACAGAAGCATTCTCAGAAACTGCTTTGTGATGTTTGTGTTCCACTTCAAGAATTGAACTTTCCTCTTGACAGAGCAGCTCTGAAACCCTCTTTTTCTAGAGTCTGCAAGTGGACATTTGGAGGGCTTTGAGGCCTGTGGTGGAAAAGGAAAATCTTCACATAAAAACTAGATGGAAGCATTCTCAGAAACTACTTTGTGATGATTGCATTCGACTCACAGAGTTGAACATTCCTATACATAGAGCAGGTTGTAAACAATCTTTTTGTAGAATCTGCGATTGGAGATTTGGACTGCTTTGAGGCCTACTGTAGTAAAGGAAATAACTTCATCTAAAAACCAAACGGAAGCATTCACAGACAATTCTTAGTGATCATTGCATTGAACTAACAGAGCTGAATATTCCTTTAGATGGCGCAGTTTCCAAACACACTTTCTGTAGAATCTGCAAGTGGATATTTGGACCTCTCTGAGGATTTCGTTGGAAACGGGATAAACTTCCCAGAACTACACGGAAGCATTCTGAGAAACTTCTTTGTGATGTTTGCATTCAACTCACAGAGTTGAACCTTGCTTTCATAGTTCAGCTTTCAAACACTCTTTTTGTAGAATCTGCAAGTGGATATTTGGACCACTTTGTGGCCTTCCTTCGAAACGGGTATATCTTCACATCAAACCTAGACAGAAGCATTCTCAGAATGTTTCCTGTGATGACTGCATTCAACTCACAGAGGTGAACAATCCTGCTGATGGAGCAGTTTTTAAACTCTCCTTCTTTGGATTCTGCAAGTGGATATGTGGACCTCTGTGAAGATTTCGTTGGAAACGGGTTCATCTTCACAGAAAAACTAAACAGAAACATTCTCAGAAACTGCTTTGTGATGTTTGTGTTCCACTTCAGGAATTGAACTTTCCTCTTGACAGAGCAGCTCTGAAACCCTCTTATTCTAGAATCTGCAAGTGGACATTTGGAGGGCTTTGAGGCCTGTGGTGGAAAAGGAAAATCTTCACATAAAAACTAGATGGAAGCATTCTCAGAAACTACTTTGTGATGATTGCATTCGACTCACAGAGTTGAACATTCCTATAGATAGAGCAGGTTGTAAACAATCTTTTTGTAGAATCTGCGATTGGAGATTTGGACTGCTTTGAGGCCTACTGTAGTAAAGGAAATAACTTCATCTAAAAACCAAACGGAAGCATTCACAGACAATTCTTAGTGATCATTGGATTGAACTAACAGAGCTGAACACTCCTTTACATGTAGCAGTTTCCAAACACACTTTCTGTAGAATCTGCAAGTGGATATTTGGACTTGTCTGAGGATTTCGTTGGAAACGGGATAAACTTCCCAGAACTACACGGAAGCATTGTGAGAAACTTCTTTGTGATGTTTGCATTCAACTCACAGAGTTGAACCTTGCTTTCATAGTTCAGCTTTCAAACACTCTTTTTGTAGAATCTGCAAGTGGATATTTGGACCACTTTGTGGCCTTCCTTCGAAACGGGTATATCTTCACATCAAACCTAGACAGAAGCATTCTCAGAATGTTTCCTGTGATGACTGCATTCAACTCACAGAGGTGAACAATCCTGCTGATGGACCAGTTTTGAAACTCTCTTTCTTTGGATTCTGCAAGTTGATATGTGGACCTCTGTGAAGATTTCGTTGGAAACGGGTTCATCTTCACAGAAAAACTAAACAGAAGCATTCTCAGAAACTACTTTGTGATGTTTGTGTTCCACTTCAAGAATTGAACTTTCCTCTTGACAGAGCAGCTCTGAAACCCTCTTTTTCTAGAATCTGCAAGTGGACATTTGGGGGGCTTTGAGGCCTGTGGTGGAAAAGGAAAATCTTCTCATAAAAACTAGATGGAAGCATTCTCAGAAACTACTTTGTGATGATTGCATTCGACTCACAGAGTTGAACATTCCTATAGATAGAGCAGGATGTAAACAATCTTTTTGTAGAATCTGCGATTGGAGATTTGGACTGCTTTGAGGCCTACTGTAGTAAAGGAAATAACTTCATCTAAAAACCAAACGGAAGCATTCACAGACAATTCTTAGTGATCATTGGATTGAACTAACAGAGCTGAACATTCCTTTAGATGGAGCAGTTTCCAAACCCACTTTCTGTAGAATCTGCAAGTGGATATTTGGACTTCTCAGAGGATTTCGTTGGAAACGGGATAAACTTCCCAGAACTACACGGAAGCATTGTGAGAAACTTCTTTGTGATGTTTGCATTCAACTCACAGAGTTGAACCTTGCTTTCATAGTTCAGCTTTCAAACACTCTTTTTGTAGAATCTGCAAGTGGACATTTGGACCACTTTGTGGCCTTCCTTCGAAACGGGTATATCTTCACATCAAACCTAGACAGAAGCATTCTCAGAATGTTTCCTGTGATGACTGCATTCAACTCACAGAGATGAACAATCCTGTTGATGGAGCAGTTTTGAAACTCTCTTTCTTTGCATTCTGCAAGTGGATATGTGGACCTCTGTGAAGATTTCGTTGGAAACGGGTTCATCTTCACAGAAAAATTAAACAGAAGCATTCTCAGAAACTGCTTTGTGATGTTTGTGTTCCACTTCAGGAATTGAACTTTCCTCTTGACAGAGCAGCTCTGAAACCCTCTTATTCTAGAATCTGCAAGTTGACATTTGGAGGGCTTTGAGGCCTGTGGTGGAAAAGGAAAATCTTCACATAAAAACTAGATGGAAGCATTCTCAGAAACTACTTTGTGATGATTGCATTCGACTCACAGAGTTGAACATTCCTACAGATAGAGCAGGTTGTAAACAATCTTTTTGTAGAATCTGCGATTGGAGATTTGGACTGCTTTGAGGCCTACTGTAGTAAAGGAAATAACTTCATCTAAAAACCAAACGGAAGCATTCACAGACAATTCTTAGTGATCATTGCATTGAACTATCAGAGCTGAACATTGCTTTAGATGGAGCAGTTTCCAAACACACTTTCTGTAGAATCTGCAAGTGGATATTTGGACTTCTCTGAGGATTTCGTTGGAAACGGGATAAACTTCCCAGAACTACACGGAAGCATTTTGAGAAACTTCTTTGTGATGTTTGCATTCAACTCACAGAGTTGAACCTTGCTTTCATAGTTCAGCTTTCAAACACTCTTTTTGTAGAATCTGCAAGTGGATATTTGGACCACTTTGTGGCCTTCCTTTGAAAAGGGTATATCTTCACATCAAACCTAGACAGAAGCATTCTCAGAATGTTTCCTGTTATGACTGCATTCAACTCACAGAGGTGAACAATCCTGCTGATGGAGCAGTTTTGAAACTCTCTTTCTTTGGATTCTGCAAGTGGATATGTGGACCTCTGTGAAGATTTCGTTGGAAACGGGTTCATCTTCACAGAAAAACTAAACAGAAGCATTCTCAGAAACTGCTTTGTGATGTTTGTGTTCCACTTCAGGAATTGAACTTTCCTCTTGAAAGAGCAGCTCTGAAACCCTCTTTTTCTAGAATCTGCAAGTGGACATTTGGAGGGCTTTGAGGCCTGTGGTGGAAAAGGAAAATCTTCACATAAAAACTAGATGGAAGCATTCTCAGAAACTACTTTGTGATGATTGCATTCGACTCACAGAGTTGAACACTCCTATAGATAGAGCAGGTTGTAAACAATCTTTTTGTAGAATCTGCGATTGGAGATTTGGACTGCTTTGAGGCCTACTGTAGTAAAGGAAATAACTTCATCTAAAAACCAAACGGAAGCATTCACAGACAATTCTTAGTGATCATTGGATTGAACTAACAGAGCTGAACATTCCTTTAGATGGAGCAGTTTCCAAACACACTTTCTGTAGAATCTGCAAGTGGATATTTGGACCTCTCTGAGGATTTCGTTGGAAAGGGGATAAACTTCCCAGAACTACACGGAAGCATTCTGAGAAACTTCTTTGTGATGTTTGCATTCAACTCACAGAGTTGAACCTTGCTTTCATTGTTCAGCTTTCAAACACTCTTTTTGTAGAATCTGCAAGTGGATATTTGGACCACTTTGTGGCCTTCCTTCGAAACGGGTATATCTTCACATCAAACCTAGACAGAAGCATTCTCAGAATGTTTCCTGTGATGACTGCATTCAACTCACAGAGGTGAACAATCCTGTTGATGGAGCAGTTTTGAAACTCTCTTTCTTTGGATTCTGCAAGTGGATATGTGGACCTCTTTGAAGATTTCGTTGGAAACGGGTTCATCTTCACAGAAAAACTAAACAGAAGCATTCTCAGAAACTGCTTTGTGATGTTTGTGTTCCACTTCAAGAATTGAACTTTCCTCTTGACAGAGCAGCTCTGAAACCCTCTTTTTCTAGAATCTGCAAGTGGACATTTGGAGGGCTTTGAGGCCTGTGGTGGAAAAGGAAAATCTTCACATAAAACTAGATGGAAGCATTCTCAGAAACTACTTTGTGATGATTGCATTCGACTCACAGAGTTGAACATTCCTATAGATAGAGCAGGTTGTAAACAATCTTTTTGTAGAATCTGCGATTGGAGATTTGGACTGCTTTGAGGCCTACTGTAGTAAAGGAAATAACTTCATCTAAAAACCAAACGGAAGCATTCACAGACAATTCTTAGTGATCATTGCATTGAACTAACAGAGCTGAACATTCCTTTAGATGGAGCAGTTTCCAAACACACTTTCTGTAGAATCTGCAAGTGGATATTTGGACTTCTCTGAGGATTTCGTTGGAAACGGGATAAACTTCCCAGAACTACACGGAAGCATTGTGAGAAACTTCTTTGTGATGTTTGCATTCAACTCACAGAGTTGAACCTTGCTTTCATAGTTCAGCTTTCAAACACTCTTTTTGTAGAATCTGCAAGTGGATATTTGGACCACTTTGTGGCCTTCCTTCGAAACGGGTATATCTTCACATCAAACCTAGACAGAAGCATTCTCAGAATGTTTCCTGTGATGACTGCATTCAACTCACAGAGGTGAACAATCCTGCTGTTGGAGCAGTTTTGAAACTCTCTTTCTTTGGATTCTGCAAGTGGATATGTGGACCTCTGTGAAGATTTCGTTGGAAACGGGTTCATCTTCACAGAAAAACTAAACAGGAGCATTCTCAGAAACTGCTTTGTGATGTTTGTGTTCCACTTCAAGAATTGAACTTTCCTCTTGACAGAGCAGCTCTGAAACCCTCTTTTTCTAGAATCTGCAAGTGGACATTTGGAGGGCTTTGAGGCCTGTGGTGGAAAAGGAAAATCTTCACATAAAAACTAGATGGAAGCATTCTCAGAAACTACTTTGTGATGATTGCATTCGACTCACAGAGTTGAACATTCCTATAGATAGAGCAGGTTGTAAACAATCTTTTTGTAGAATCTGCGATTGGAGATTTGGACTGCTTTGAGGCCTACTGTAGTAAAGGAAATAACTTCATCTAAAAACCAAACGGAAGCATTCACAGACAATTCTTAGTGATCATTGGATTGAACTAACAGAGCTGAACATTCCTTTAGATGGAGCAGTTTCCAAACCCACTTTCTGTAGAATGTGCAAGTGGATAGTTGGACCTTTCTGAGGATTTCGTTGGAAACGGGATATACTTCCCAGAACTACACGGAAGCATTGTGAGAAAATTCTTTGTGATGTTTGCATTCAACTCACAGAGTTGAACCTTGGTTTCATAGTTCAGCTTTCAAACACTCTTTTTGTAGAATCTGCAAGTGGATATTTGGACCACTTTGTGGCCTTCCTTCGAAACGGGTATATCTTCACATCAAACCTAGACAGAAGCATTCTCAGAATGTTTCCTGTGATGACTGCATTCAACTCACAGAGGTGAACAATCCTGTTGATGGAGCACTTTTGAAACTCTCTTTCTTTGGATTCTGCAAGTTGATATGTGGACCTCTGTGAAGATTTCGTTGGAAACGGGTTCATCTTCACAGAAAAACTAAACAGAAGCATTCTCAGAAACTACTTTGTGTTTGTTTGTGTTCCACTTCAAGAATTGAACTTTCCTCTTGACAGAGCAGCTCTGAAACCCTCTTTTTCTAGAATCTGCAAGTGGACATTTGGAGGGCTTTGAGGCCTGTGGTGGAAAAGGAAAATCTTCACATAAAAACTAGATGGAAGCATTCTCAGAAACTACTTTGTGATGATTGCATTCGACTCACAGAGTTGAACATTCCTATAGATAGAGCAGGTTGTAAACAATCTTTTTGTAGAATCTGCGATTGGAGATTTGGACTGCTTTGAGGCCTACTGTAGTAAAGGAAATAACTTCATCTAAAAACCAAACGGAAGCATTCACAGACAATTCTTAGTGATCATTGCATTGAACTAACAGAGCTGAACATTCCTTTAGATGGCGCAGTTTCCAAACACACTTTCTGTAGAATCTGCAAGTGGATATTTGGACCTCTCTGAGGATTTCGTTGGAAAAGGGCTAAACTTCCCAGAACTACACGGAAGCATTGTGAGAACCTTCTTTGTGATGTTTGCATTCAACTCACAGAGTTGAACCTTGCTTTCATAGTTCAGCTTTCAAACACTCCTTTTGTAGATTCTGCAAGTGGATATTTGGACCACTTTGTGGCCTTCCTTGGAAACGGGTATATCTTCACATCAAACCTAGACAGAAGCATTCTCAGAATGTTTCCTGTGATGACTGCATTCAACTCACAGAGGTGAACAATCCTGCTGATGGAGTAGTTTTGAAACTCTCTTTCTTTGGATTCTGCAAGTGGATATGTGGACCTCTGTGAAGATTTCGTTGGAAACGGGTTCATCTTCACAGAAAAACTAAACAGAAGCATTCTCAGAAACTACTTTGTGATGTTTGTGTTCCACTTCAAGAATTGAACTTTCCTCTTGACAGAGCAGCTCTGAAACCCTCTTTTTCTAGAATCTGCAAGTGGACATTTGGAGGGCTTTGAGGCCTGTGGTGGAAAAGGAAAATCTTCACATAAAAACTAGATGGAAGCATTCTCAGAAACTACTTTGTGATGATTGCATTCGACTCACAGAGTTGAACATTCCTATAGATAGAGCAGGTTGTAAACAATCTTTTTGTAGAATGTGCGATTGGAGATTTGGACTGCTTTGAGGCCTACTGTAGTAAAGGAAATAACTTCATCTAAAAACCAAACGGAAGCATTCACAGACAATTCTTAGTGATCATTGCATTGAACTAACAGAGCTGAACATTGCTTTAGATGGCGCAGTTTCCAAACCCACTTTCTGTAGAATCTGCAAGTGGATATTTGGACCTCTCTGAGGATTTCGTTGGAAACGGGATAAACTTCCCAGAACTACACGGAAGCATGCTGAGAAACTTCTTTGTGATGTTTGCATTCAACTCACAGAGTTGAACCTTGCTTTCATAGTTCAGCTTTCAAACACTCTTTTTGTAGAATCTGCAAGTGGATATTTGGACCACTTTGTGGCCTTCCTTCGAAACGGGTATATCTTCACATCAAACCTAGACAGAAGCATTCTCAGAATGTTTCCTGTGATGACTGCATTCAACTCACAGAGGTGAACAATCCTGTTGATGGAGCAGTTTTGAAACTCTCTTTCTTTGGATTCTGCAAGTTGATATGTGGACCTCTGTGAAGATTTCGTTGGAAACGGGTTCATCTTCACAGAAAAACTAAACAGAAGCATTCTCAGAAACTGCTTTGTGATGTTTGTGTTCCACTTCAGGAATTGAACTTTCCTCTTGACAGAGCAGCTCTGAAACCCTCTTATTCTAGAATCTGCAAGTGGACATTTGGAGGGCTTTGAGGCCTGTGGTGGAAAAGGAAAATCTTCACATAAAAACTAGATGGAAGCATTCTCAGAAACTACTTTGTGATGATTGCATTCGACTCACAGAGTTGAACATTCCTATAGATAGAGCAGGTTGTAAACAATCTTTTTGTAGAATCTGCGATTGGAGATTTGGACTGCTTTGAGGCCTACTGTAGTAAAGGAAATTACTTCATCTAAAAACCAAACGGAAGCATTCACAGACAATTCTTAGTGATCATTGGATTGAACTAACAGAGCTGAACATTCCTTTAGATGGAGCAGTTTCCAAACACACTTTCTGTAGAATCTGCAAGTGGATATTTGGACTTCTCTGAGGATTTCGTTGGAAACGGGATAAACTTCCCAGAACTACACGGAAGCATTCTGAGAAACTTCTTTGTGATGTTTCCATTCAACTCACAGAGTTGAACCTTGCTTTCATAGTTCAGCTTTCAAACACTCTTTTTGTAGAATCTGCAAGTGGATATTTGGACCACTTTGTGGCCTTCCTTCGAAACGGGTATATCTTCACATCAAACCTAGACAGAAGCATTCTCAGAATGTTTCCTGTGATGACTGCATTCAACTCACAGAGGTGAACAATCCTGTTGATGGTGCAGTTTTGAAACTCTCTTTCTTTGGATTCTGCAATTGGATATGTAGACCTCTGTGAAGATTTCGTTGGAAACGGGTTCATCTTCACAGAAAAACTAAACAGAAGCATTCTCAGAAACTGCTTTGTGATGTTTGTGTTCCACTTCAGGAATTGAACTTTCCTCTTGACAGAGCAGCTCTGAAACCCTCTTATTCTAGAATCTGCAAGTGGACATTTGGAGGGCTTTGAGGCCTGTGGTGGAAAAGGAAAATCTTCACATAAAAACTAGATGGAAGCATTCTCAGAAACTACTTTGTGATGATTGCATTCGACTCACAGAGTTGAACATTCCTATAGATAGAGCAGGTTGTAAACAATCTTTTTGTAGAATCTGCGATTGGAGATTTGGACTGCTTTGAGGTCTACTGTAGTAAAGGAAATAACTTCATCTAAAAACCAAACGGAAGCATTCACAGACAATTCTTAGTGATCATTGGATTGAACTAACAGAGCTGAACATTCCTTTAGATGGAGCAGTTTCCAAACACACTTTCTGTAGAATCTGCAAGTGGATATTTGGACCTCTCTGAGGATTTCGTTGGAAACGGGATAAACTTCCCAGAACTACACGGAAGCATTGTGAGAAACTTCTTTGTGATGTTTGCATTCAACTCACAGAGTTGAACCTTGCTTTCATAGTTCAGCTTTCAAACACTCTTTTTGTAGAATCTGCAAGTGGATATTTGGACCACTTTGTGGCCTTCCTTCGAAACGGGTATATCTTCACATCAAACCTAGACAGAAGCATTCTCAGAATGTTTCCTGTGATGACTGCATTCAACTCACAGAGGTGAACAATCCTGTTGATGGAGCAGTTTTGAAACTCTCTTTCTTTGGATTCTGCAAGTGGATATGTGGACCTCTGTGAAGATTTCGTTGGAAACGGGTTCATCTTCACAGAAAAACTAAACAGAAGCATTCTCAGAAACTGCTTTGTGATGTTTGTGTTCCACTTCAGGAATTGAACTTTCCTCTTGACAGAGCAGCTCTGAAACCCTCTTATTCTAGAATCTGCAAGTGGACATTTGGAGGGCTTTGAGGCCTGTGGTGGAAAAGGAAAATCTTCACATAAAAACTAGATGGAAGCATTCTCAGAAACTACTTTGTGATGATTGCATTCGACTCACAGAGTTGAACATTCCTATAGATAGAGCAGGTTGTAAACAATCTTTTTGTAGAATCTGCGATTGGAGATTTGGACTGCTTTGAGGCCTACTGTAGTAAAGGAAATAACTTCATCTAAAAACCAAACGGAAGCATTCACAGACAATTCTTAGTGATCATTGGATTGAACTAACAGAGCTGAACATTCCTTTAGATGGAGCAGTTTCCAAACACACTTTCTGTAGAATCTGCAAGTGGATATTTGGACCTCTCTGAGGATTTCGTTGGAAACGGGATAAACTTCCCAGAACTACACGGAAGCATTCTGAGAAACTTCTTTGTGATGTTTGCATTCAACTCACAGAGTTGAACCTTGCTTTCATAGTTCAGCTTTCAAACACTCTTTTTGTAGAATCTGGAAGTGGATATTTGGACCACTTTGTGGCCTTCCTTCGAAACGGGTATATCTTCACATCAAACCTAGACAGAAGCATTCTCAGAATGTTTCCTGTGATGACTGCATTCAACTCACAGAGGTGAACAATCCTGTTGATGGAGCCGTTTTGAAACTCCCTTTCTTTGGATTCTGCAAGTGGATATGTGGAACTCTGTGAAGATTTCGTTGGAAACGGGTTCATCTTCACAGAAAAACTAAACAGGAGCATTCTCAGAAACTGCTTTGTGATGTTTGTGTTCCACTTCAAGAATTGAACTTTCCTCTTGAAAGAGCAGCTCTGAAACCCTCTTTTTCTAGAATCTGCAAGTGGACATTTGGAGGGCTTTGAGGCCTGTGGTGGAAAAGGAAAATCTTCACATAAAAACTAGATGGAAGCATTCTCAGAAACTACTTTGTGATGATTGCATTCGACTCACAGAGTTGAACATTCCTATAGATAGAGCAGGTTGTAAACAATCTTTTTGTAGAATCTGCGATTGGAGATTTGGACTGCTTTGAGACCTACTGTAGTAAAGGAAATAACTTCATCTAAAAACCAAACGGCAAGCATTCACAAACAATTCTTAGTGATCATTGGATTGAACTAACAGAGCTGAACATTCCTTTCGATGGCGCAGTTTCCAAACACACTTTCTGTAGAATCTGCCACTGGATATTTGGACCTCTCTGAGGATTTCGTTGGAAACGGGCTAAACTTCCCAGAACTACACGGAAGCATTGTGAGAAACTTCTTTGTGATGTTTGCATTCAACTCACAGAGTTGAACCTTGCTTTCATAGTTCAGCTTTCAAACACTCTTTTTGTAGAATCTGCAAGTGGATATTTGGACCACTTTGTGGCCTTCCTTCGAAACGGGTATATCTTCACATCAAACCTAGACAGAAGCATTCTCAGAATGTTTCCTGTGATGACTGCATTCAACTCACAGAGGTGAACAATCCTATTGATGGAGCAGTTTTGAAACTCTCTTTCTTTGGATTCTGCAAGTGGATATGTGGACCTCTGTGAAGATTTCGTTGGAAACGGGTTCAACTGCACAGAAAAACTAAACAGGAGCATTCTCAGAAACTGCTTTGTGATGTTTGTGTTCCACTTCAAGAATTGAACTTTCCTCTTGACAGAGCAGCTCTGAAACCCTCTTTTTCTAGAATCTGCAAGTGGACATTTGGAGGGCTTTGAGGCCTGTGGTGGAAAAGGAAAATCTTCACATAAAAACTAGATGGAAGCATTCTCAGAAACTCCTTTGTGATGATTGCATTCGACTCACAGAGTTGAACATTCCTATAGATAGAGCAGGTTGTAAACAATCTTTTTGTAGAATCTGCGATTGGAGATTTGGACTGCTTTGAGGCCTACTGTAGTAAAGGAAATAACTTCATCTAAAAACCAAACGGAAGCATTCACAGACAATTCTTAGTGATCATTGGATTGAACTAACAGAGCTGAACATTCCTTTAGATGGAGCAGTTTCCAAACACACTTTCTGTAGAATCTGCAAGTGGATATTTGGACCTCTCTGAGGATTTCGTTGGAAACGGGATAAACTTCCCAGAACTACACGGAAGCATTCTGAGAAACTTCTTTGTGATGTTTGCATTCAACTCACAGAGTTGAACCTTGCTTTCATAGTTCAGCTTTCAAACACTCTTTTTGTAGAATCTGCAAGTGGATATTTGGACCACTTTGTGGCCTTCCTTCGAAACGGGTATATCTTCACATCAAACCTAGACAGAAGCATTCTCAGAATGTTTCCTGTGATGACTGCATTCAACTCACAGAGGTGAACAATCCTGTTGATGGAGTAGTTTTGAAACTCTCTTTCTTTGGATTCTGCAAGTTGATATGTGGACCTCTGTGAAGATTTCGTTGGAAACGGGTTCATCTTCACAGAAAAACTAAACAGAAGCATTCTCAGAAACTGCTTTGTGATGTTTGTGTTCCACTTCAAGAATTGAACTTTCCTCTTGACAGAGCAGCTCTGAAACCCTCTTTTTCTAGAATCTGCAAGTGGACATTTGGAGGGCTTTGAGGCCTGTGGTGGAAAAGGAAAATCTTCACATAAAAACTAGATGGAAGCATTCTCAGAAACTACTTTGTGATGATTGCATTCGACTCACAGAGTTGAACATTCCTATAGATAGAGCAGGTTGTAAACAATCTTTTTGTAGAGTCTGCGATTGGAGATTTGGACTGCTTTGAGGCCTACTGTAGTAAAGGAAATAACTTCATCTAAAAACCAAACGGAAGCATTCACAGACAATTCTTAGTGATCATTGGATTGAACAAACAGAGCTGAACATTCCTTTAGATGGCGCAGTTTCCAAACACACTTTCTGTAGAATCTGCAAGTGGATATTTGGAGCTCTCTGAGGATTTCGTTGGAAACGGGATAAACTTCCCAGAACTACACGGAAGCATTGTGAGAAACTTCTTTGTGATGTTTGCATTCAACTCACAGAGTTGAACCTTGCTTTCATAGTTCAGCTTTCAAACACTCTTTTTGTAGAATCTGCAAGTGGATATTTGGACCACTTTGTGGCCTTCCTTCGAAACGGGTATATCTTCACATCAAACCGAGACAGAAGCATTCTCAGAATGTTTCCTGTGATGACTGCATTCAACTCACAGAGGTGAACAATCCTGCTGTTGGAGCAGTTTTGAAACTCTCTTTCTTTGGATTCTGCAAGTGGATATGTGGACCTCTGTGAAGATTTCGTTGGAAACGGGTTCATCTTCACAGAAAAACTAAACAGGAGCATTCTCAGAAACTGCTTTGTGATGTTTGTGTTCCACTTCAAGAATTGAACTTTCCTCTTGACAGAGCAGCTCTGAAACCCTCTTTTTCTAGAATCTGCAAGTGGACATTTGGAGGGCTTTGAGGCCTGTGGTGGAAAAGGAAAATCTTCACATAAAAACTAGATGGAAGCATTCTCAGAAACTACTTTGTGATGATTACATTCGACTCACAGAATTGAACATTCCTATAGATAGAGCAGGTTGAAAACAATCTTTTTGTAGAATCTGCGATTGGAGATTTGGACTGCTTTGAGGCCTACTGTAGTAAAGGAAATAACTTCATCTAAAAACCAAACGGAAGCATTCACAGACAATTCTTAGTGATCATTGGATTGAACTAACAGAGCTGAACATTCCTTTAGATGGCGCAGTTTCCAAACACACTTTCTGTAGACTCTGCAACTGGATATTTGGACCTCTCTGAGGATTTCGTTGGAAACGGGATAAACTTCCCAGAACTACACGGAAGCATTCTGAGAAACTTCTTTGTGATGTTTGCATTCAACTCACAGAGTTGAACCTTGCTTTCATAGTTCAGCTTTGAAACACTCTTTTTGTAGAATCTGCAAGTGGATATTAGGAGCACTTTGTGGCCTTCCTTCGAAACGGGTAAATCTTCACATCAAACCTAGACAGAAGCATTCTCAGAATGTTTCCTGTGACGACTGCATTCAACTCACAGAGGTGAACAATCCTGTTGATGGAGCAGTTTTGAAACTCCCTTTCTTTGGATTCTGCAAGTGGATATGTGGACCTCTGTGAAGATTTCGTTGGAAACGGGTTCATCTTCACAGAAAAACTAAACAGGAGCATTCTCAGAAACTGCTTTGTGATGTTTGTGTTCCACTTCAGGAATTGAACTTTCCTCTTGACAGAGCAGCTCTGAAACCCTCTTTTTCTAGAATCTGCAAGTGGACATTTGGAGGGCTTTGAGGCCTGTGGTGGAAAAGGAAAATCTTCACATAAAAACTAGATGGAAGCATTCTCAGAAACTACTTTGTGATGATTGCATTCGACTCACAGAGTTGAACATTCCTATAGATAGAGCAGGTTGTAAACAATCTTTTTGTAGAATCTGCGATTGGAGATTTGGACTGCTTTGAGGCCTACTGTAGTAAAGGAAATAACTTCATCTAAAAACCAAACGGAAGCATTCACAGACAATTCTTAGTGATCATTGCATTGAACTAACAGAGCTGAACATTCCTTTAGATGGAGCAGTTTCCAAACCCACTTTCTGTAGAATCTGCAAGTGGATATTTGGACTTCTCTGAGGATTTCGTTGGAAACGGGATAAACTTCCCAGAACTACAGGGAAGCATTCTGAGAAACTTCTTTGTGATGTTTGCATTCAACTCACACAGTTGAACCTTGCTTTCATAGTTCAGCTTTCAAACACTCTTTTTGTAGAATCTGCAAGTGGATATTTGGACCACTTTGTGGCCTTCCTTCGAAACGGGTATATCTTCACATCAAACCTAGACAGAAGCATTCTCAGAATGTTTCCTGTGATGACTGCATTCAACTCACAGAGGTGAACAATCCTGCTGATGGAGCAGTTTTGAAACTCTCTTTCTTTGGATTCTGCAAGTGGATATGTGGACCTCTGTGAAGATTTCGTTGGAAACGGGTTCATCTTCACAGAAAAACTAAACAGAAGCATTCTCAGAAACTGCTTTGTGATGTTTGTGTTCCACTTCAGGAATTGAACTTTCCTCTTGACAGAGCAGCTCTGAAACCCTCTTATTCTAGAATCTGCAAGTGGACATTTGGAGGGCTTTGAGGCCTGTGGTGGAAAAGGAAAATCTTCACATAAAAACTAGATGGAAGCATTCTCAGAAACTACTTTGTGATGATTGCATTCGACTCACAGAGTTGAACATTCCTATAGATAGAGCAGGTTGTAAACAATCTTTTTGTAGAATCTGCGATTGGAGATTTGGACTGCTTTGAGGCCTACTGTAGTAAAGGAAATAACTTCATCTAAAAACCAAACGGAAGCATTCACAGACAATTCTTAGTGATCATTGGATTGAACTAACAGAGCTGAACATTCCTTTAGATGGAGCATTTTCCAAACACACTTTCTGTAGAATCTGCAAGTGGATATTTGGACCTCTCTGAGGATTAAGTTGGAAACGGGGTAAACTTCCCAGAAATACACGGAAGTATTCTGAGAAACTTCTTTGTGATGTTTGCATTCAACTCACAGAGTTGAACCTGGCTTTCATAGTTCAGCTTTCAAACACTCTTTTTGTAGAATCTGCAAGTGGATATCTGGACCACTTTGTGGCCTTCCTTCGAAACGGGTATATCTTCACATCAAACCTAGACAGAAGCATTCTCAGAATGTTTCCTGTGATGACTGCATTCAACTCACAGAGCTGAACAATCCTGCTGATGGAGCAGTTTTGAAACTCTCTTTCTTTGGATTCTGCAGGTGGATATGTGGACCTCTGTGAAGATTTCGTTGGAAACGGGTTCATCTTCACAGAAAAACTAAACAGGAGCATTCTCAGAAACTGCATTGTGATGTTTGTGTTCCACTTCAGGAATTGAACTTTCCTCTTGACAGAGCAGCTCTGAAACCCTCTTATTCTAGAATCTGCAAGTGGACATTTGGAGGGCTTTGAGGCCTGTGGTGGAAAAGGAAAATCTTCACATAAAAACTAGATGGAAGCATTCTCAGAAACTACTTTGTGATGATTGCATTCGACTCACAGAGTTGAACATTCCTATAGATAGAGCAGGTTGTAAACAATCTTTTTGTAGAATCTGCGATTGGAGATTTGGACTGCTTTGAGGCCTACTGTAGTAAAGGAAATAACTTCATCTAAAAACCAAACGGAAGCATTCACAGACAATTCTTAGTGATCATTGGTTTGAACTAACAGAGCTGAACATTCCTTTAGATGGAGCAGTTTCCAAACCCACTTTCTGTAGAATCTGCAAGTGGATATTTGGACTTCTCTGAGGATTTCGTTGGAAACTGGATAAACTTCCCAGAACTACACGGAAGCATTGTGAGAAACTTCTTTGTGATGTTTGCATTCAACTCACAGAGTTGAACCTTGCTTTCATAGTTCAGCTTTCAAACACTCCTTTTGTAGAATCTGCAAGTGGATATTTGGACCACTTTGTGGCCTTCCTTGGAAACGGGTATATCTTCACATCAAACCTAGACAGAAGCATTCTCAGAATGTTTCCTGTGATGACTGCATTCAACTCACAGAGGTGAACAATCCTGCTGATGGAGCAGTTTTGAAACTCTCTTTCTTTGGATTCTGCAAGTGGATATGTGGACCTCTGTGAAGATTTCGTTGGAAACGGGTTCATCTTCACAGAAAAACTAAACAGAAGCATTCTCAGAAACTGCTTTGTGATGTTTGTGTTCCACTTCAGGAATTGAACTTTCCTCTTGACAGAACAGCTCTGAAACCCTCTTATTCTAGAATCTGCAAGTGGACATTTGGAGGGCTTTGAGGCCTGTGGTGGAAAAGGAAAATCTTCACATAAAAACTAGATGGAAGCATTCTCAGAAACTACTTTGTGATGATTGCATTCGACTCACAGAGTTGAACATTCCTATAGATAGAGCAGGTTGTAAACAATCTTTTTGTAGAATCTGCGATTGGAGATTTGGACTGCTTTGAGGCCTACTGTAGTAAAGGAAATAACTTCATCTAAAAACCAAACGGAAGCATTCACAGACAATTCTTAGTGATCATTGGATTGAACTAACAGAGCTGAACATTCCTTTAGATGGAGCAGTTTCCAAACCCACTTTCTGTAGAATCTGCAAGTGGATATTTGGACTTCTCTGAGGATTTCGTTGGAAACGGGATAAACTTCCCAGAACTACAGGGAAGCATTGTGAGAAACTTCTTTGTGATGTTTGCATTCAACTCACAGAGTTGAACCTTGCTTTCGTAGTTCAGCTTTCAAACACTCTTTTTGTAGAATCTGCAAGTGGATATTTGGACCACTTTGTGGTCTTCCTTCGAAACGGGTATATCTTCACATCAAACCTAGACAGAAGCATTCTCAGAATGTTTCCTGTGATGACTGCATTCAACTCACAGAGGTGAACAATCCTGCTGATGGAGCAGTTTTGAAACTCTCTTTCTTTGGATTCTGCAAGTGGATATGTGGACCTCTGTGAAGATTTCGTTGGAAACGGGTTCATCTTCACAGAAAAACTAAACAGAAGCATTCTCAGAAACTGCTTTGTGATGTTTGTGTTCCACTTCAGGAATTGAACTTTCCTCTTGACAGAGCAGCTCTGAAACCCTCTTATTCTAGAATCTGCAAGTGGACATTTGGAGGGCTTTGAGGCCTGTGGTGGAAAAGGAAAATCTTCACATAAAAACTAGATGGAAGCATTCTCAGAAACTACTTTGTGATGATTGCATTCGACTCACAGAGTTGAACATTCCTATAGATAGAGCAGGTTGTAAACAATCTTTTTGTAGAATCTGCGATTGGAGATTTGTTCTGCTTTGAGGCCTACTGTAGTAAAGGAAATAACTTCATCTAAAAACCAAACGGAAGCATTCACAGACAATTCTTAGTGATCATTGGATTGAACTAACAGAGCTGAACATTCCTTTAGATGGAGCAGTTTCCAAACACACTTTCTGTAGAATCTGCAAGTGGATATTTGGACTTCTCTGAGGATGTCGTTGGAAACGGGATATACTTCCCAGAACTACACGGAAGCATTGTGAGAAACTTCTTTGTGATGTTTGCATTCAACTCACAGAGTTGAACCTTGCTTTCATAGTTCAGCTTTCAAACACTCTTTTTGTAGAATCTGCAAGTGGATATTTGGACCACTTTGTGGCCTTCCTTTGAAAAGGGTATATCTTCACATCAAACCTAGACAGAAGCATTCTCAGAATGTTTCCTGTGATGACTGCATTCAACTCACAGAGGTGAACAATCCTGCTGATGGAGCAGTTTTGAAACTCTCTTTCTTTGGATTCTGCAAGTGGATATGTGGACCTCTGTGAAGATTTCGTTGGAAACGGGTTCATCTTCACAGAAAAATTAACAGGAGCATTCTCAGAAACTGCTTTGTGATGTTTGTGTTCCACTTCAAGAATTGAACTTTCCTCTTGACAGAGCAGCTCTGAAACCCTCTTTTGCTAGAATCTGCAAGTGGACATTTGGAGGGCTTTGAGGCCTGTGGTGGAAAAGGAAAATCTTCACATAAAAACTAGATGGAAGCATTCTCAGAAACTCCTTTGTGATGATTGCATTCGACTCACAGAGTTGAACATTCCTATAGATAGAGCAGGTTGTAAACAATCTTTTTGTAGAATCTGCGATTGGAGATTTGGACTGCTTTGAGGCCTACTGTAGTAAAGGAAATAACTTCATCTAAAAACCAAACGGAAGCATTCACAGAAAATTCTTAGTGATCATTGGATTGAACTAACAGAGCTGAACATTCCCTTAGATGGCGCAGTTTCCAAACACGTTTTCTGTAGAATCTGCAAGTGGATATTTGGACCTCTCTGAGGATTTCGTTGGAAACGGGATAAACTTCCCAGAACTACACGGAAGTATTCTGAGAAACTTCTTTGTGATGTTTGCATTCAACTCACAGAGTTGAACCTTGCTTTCATAGTTCAGCTTTCAAACACTCTTTTTGTAGAATCTGCAAGTGGATATTTGGACCACTTTGTGGCCTTCCTTCGAAACGGGTATATCTTCACATCAAACCTAGACAGAAGCATTCTCAGAATGTTTCCTGTGATGACTGCATTCAACTCACAAAGGTGAACAATCCTGCTGATGGAGCAGTTTTGAAACTCTCTTTCTTTGGATTCTGCAAGTGGATATGTGGACCTCTGTGAAGATTTCGTTGGAAACGGGTTCATCTTCACAGAAAAAGTAAACAGGAGCATTCTCAGAAACTGCTTTGTGATGTTTGTGTTCCACTTCAGGAATTGAACTTTCCTCTTGACAGAGCAGCTCTGAAACCCTCTTATTCTAGAATCTGCAAGTGGACATTTGGAGGGCTTTGAGGCCTGTGGTGGAAAAGGAAAATCTTCACATAAAAACTAGATGGAAGCATTCTCAGAAACTACTTTGTGATGATTGCATTCGACTCACAGAGTTGAACATTCCTATAGATAGAGCAGGTTGTAAACAATCTTTTTGTAGAATCTGCGATTGGAGATTTGGACTGCTTTGAGGCCTACTGTAGTAAAGGAAATAACTTCATCTAAAAACCAAACGGAAGCATTCACAGACAATTCTTAGTGATCATTTGATTGAACTAACAGAGCTGAACATTCCTTTAGATGGAGCAGTTTCCAAACACACTTTCTGTAGAATCTGCAAGTGGATATTTGGACTTCTCTGAGGATTTCGTTGGAAACGGGATAAACTTCCCAGAACTACACGGAAGCATTCTGAGAAACTTCTTTGTGATGTTTGCATTCAACTCACAGAGTTGAACCTTGCTTTCATAGTTCAGCTTTCAAACACTCTTTTTGTAGAATCTGCAAGTGGATATTTGGACCACTTTCTGGCCTTCCTTCGAAACGGGTATATCTTCACATCAAACCTAGACAGAAGCATTCTCAGAATGTTTCCTGTGATGACTGCATTCAACTCACAGAGGTGAACAATCCTGCTGATGGAGCAGTTTTGAAACTCTCTTTCTTTGGATTCTGCAAGTGGATATGTGGACCTCTGTGAAGATTTCGTTGGAAACGTGTTCATCTTCACAGAAAAACTAAACAGGAGCATTCTCAGAAACTGCTTTGTGATATTTGTGTTCCACTTCAAGAATTGAACTTTCCTCTTGACAGAGCAGCTCTGAAACCCTCTTTTTCTAGAATCTGCAAGTGGACATTTGGAGGGCTTTGAGGCCTGTGGTGGAAAAGGAAAATCTTCCCATAAAAACTAGATGGAAGCATTCTCAGAAACTACTTTGTGATGATTGCATTCGACTCACAGAGTTGAACATTACTATAGATAGAGCAGGTTGTAAACAATGTTTTTGTAGAATCTGCGATTGGAGATTTGGACTGCTTTGAGGCCTACTGTAGTAAAGGAAATAACTTCATCTAAAAACCAAACGGAAGCATTCACAGATAATTCTTAGTGATCATTGGATTGAGCTAACAGAGCTGAACATTCCTTTAGATGGAGCAGTTTCCAAACACACTTTCTGCAGAATCTGCAAGTGGATATTTGGACTTCTCTGAGGATTTCGTTGGAAACGGGATAAACTTCCCAGAACTACACGGAAGCATTGTGAGAATCATATTTCTGATGTTTGCATTCAACTCACAGAGTTGAACCTTGCTTTCATAGTTCAGCTTTCAAACACTCTTTTTGTAGAATCTGCAAGTGGATATTTGGACCACTTTGTGGCCTTCCTTTGAAACGGGTACATCTTCACATCAAACCTAGACAGAAGCATTCTCAGAATGTTTCCTGTGATGACTGCATTCAACTCACAGAGGTGAACAATCCTGCTGATGGAGCAGTTTTGAAACTCTCTTTCTTTGGATTCTGCAAGTGGATATGTGGACCTCTGTGAAGATTTCGTTGGAAACGGGTTCATCTTCACAGAAAAACTAAACAGGAGCATTCTCAGAAACTGCTTTGTGATGTTTGTGTTCCACATCAAGAATTGAACTTTCCTCTTGACAGAGCAGCTCTGAAACCCTCTTTTTCTAGAATCTGCAAGTGGACATTTGGAGGGCTTTGAGGCCTGTGGTGCAAAAGGAAAATCTTCACATAAAAACTAGATGGAAGCATTCTCAGAAACTACTTTGTGATGATTGCATTCGACTCACAGAGTTGAACATTCCTATAGATAGAGCAGGTTGTAAACAATCTTTTTGTAGAATCTGCGATTGGAGATTTGGACTGCTTTGAGGCCTACTGTAGTAAAGGAAATAACTTCATCTAAAAACCAAACGGAAGCATTCACAGACAATTCTTAGTGATCATTGCATTGAACTAACAGAGCTGAACATTGCTTTAGATGGCGCAGTTTCCAAACACACTTTCTGTAGAATCTGCAAGTGGATATTTGGACCTCTCTGAGGATTTCGTTGGAAACGGGATAAACTTCCCAGAAATACACGGAAGCATGCTGAGAAACTTCTTTGTGATGTTTGCATTCAACTCACAGAGTTGAAACTTGCTTTCATAGTTCAGCTTTCAAACACTCTTTTTGTAGAATCTGCAAGTGGATATTTGGAGCACTTTGTGGCCTTCCTTCGAAACGGGTATATCTTCACATCAAACCTAGACAGAAGCATTCTCAGAATGTTTCCTGTGATGACTGCATTCAACTCACAGAGGTGAACAATCCTGTTGATGGAGCACTTTTGAAACTCTCTTTCTTTGGATTCTGCAAGTTGATATGTGGACCTCTGTGAAGATTTCGTTGGAAACGGGTTCATCTTCACAGAAAAACTAAACAGAAGCATTCTCAGAAACTACTTTGTGATGTTTGTGTTCCACTTCAAGAATTGAACTTTCCTCTTGACAGAGCAGCTCTGAAACCCTCTTTTTCTAGAATCTGCAAGTGGACATTTGGAGGGCTTTGAGGCCTGTGGTGGAAAAGGAAAATCTTCACATAAAAACTAGATGGAAGCATTCTCAGAAACTACTTTGTGATAATTGCATTCGACTCACAGAGTTGAACATTCCCATAGATAGAGCAGGTTGTAAACAATCTTTTTGTAGAATCTGCGATTGGAGATTTGGACTGCTTTGAGGCCTACTGTAGTAAAGGAAATAACTTCATCTAAAAACCAAACGGAAGCATTCCCAGACAATTCTTAGTGATCATTGGATTGAACTAACAGAGCTGAATATTCCTTTAGATGGCGCAGTTTCCAAACACACTTTCTGTAGAATCTGCAAGTGGATATTTGTACCTCTCTGAGGATTTCGTTGGAAACGGGATAAACTTCCCAGAACTACACGGAAGCATTCTGAGAAACTTCTTTGTGATGTTTGCATTCAACTCACAGAGTTGAACCTTGCTTTCATAGTTCAGCTTTGAAACACTCTTTCTGTAGAATCTGCAAGTGGATATTAGGACCACATTGTGGCCTTCCTTCGAAACGGGTATATCTTCACATCAAACCTAGACAGAAGCATTCTCAGAATGTTTCCTGTGATGACTGCATTCAACTCACAGAGGTGAACAATCCTGCTGATGGAGCAGTTTTGAAACTCTCTTTCTTTGGATTCTGCAAGTGGATATGTGGACCTCTGTGAAGATTTCGTTGGAAACGGGTTCATCTTCACAGAAAAACTAAACAGGAGCATTCTCAGAAACTGCATTATCATGTTTGTGTTCCACTTCAAGAGTTGAACTTTCCTCTTGACAGAGCAGCTCTGAAACCCTCTTTTTCTAGAATCTGCAAGTGGACATTTGGAGGGCTTTGAGGCCTGTGGTGGAAAACGAAAATCTTCACATAAAAACTAGATGGAAGCATTCTCAGAAACTACTTTGTGATGATTGCATTCGACTCACAGAGTTGAACATTCCTATAGATAGAGCAGGTTGTAAACAATCTTTTTGTAGAATCTGCGATTGGAGATTTGGACTGCTTTGAGGCCTACTGTAGTAAAGGAAATAACTTCATCTAAAAACCAAACGGAAGCATTCACAGACAATTCTTAGTGATCATTGGATTGAACTAACAGAGCTGAACACTCCTTTAGATGGAGCAGTTTCCAAACACACTTTCTGTAGAATCTGCAAGTGGATATTTGGACTTCTCTGAGGATTTCGATGGAAACGGGATAAAATTCCCAGAACTACACGGAAGCATTCTGAGAAACTTCTTTGTGAAGTTTGCATTCAACACACAGAGTTGAACCTTGCTTTCATAGTTCAGCTTTCAAACACTCTTTTTGTAGAATCTGCAAGTGGATATTTGGACCATTTGTGGTCTTCCTTCGAAACGGGTATATCTTCACATCAAACCTAGACAGAAGCATTCTCAGAATGTTTCCTGTGATGACTGCATTCAACTCACAGAGGTGAACAATCCTGCTGATGGAGCACTTTTGAAACTCTCCTTCTTTGGATTCTGCAAGTGAATATGTGGTCCTCTGTGAAGATTTCGTTGGAAACGGGTTCATCTTCACAGAAAAACTAAACAGAAGCATTCTCAGAAACTACTTTGTGATGTTTGTGTTCCACTTCAAGAATTGAACTTTCCTCTTGACAGAGCAGCTCTGAAACCCTCTTTTTCTAGAATCTGCAAGTGGACATTTGGAGGGCTTTGAGGCCTGTGGTGGAAAAGGAAAATCTTCACATGAAAACTAGATGGAAGCTTTCTCAGAAACTACTTTGTGATGATTGCATTCGACTCACAGAGTTGAACATTCCTATAGATAGAGCAGGTTGTAAACAATCTTTTTGTAGAATCTGCGATTGGAGATTTGGACTGCTTTGAGGCCTACTGTAGTAAAGGAAATAACTTCATCTAAAAACCAAACGGAAGCATTCACAGACAATTCTTAGTGATCATTGCATTGAACTAACAGAGCTGAACATTCCTTTAGATGGAGCAGTTTCCAAACCCACTTTCTGTAGAATCTGCAAGTGGATATTTGGACTTCTCTGAGGATTTCGTTGGAAACGGGATATGCTTCCCAGAACTACAGGGAAGCATTCTGAGAAACTTCTTTGTGATGTTTGCATTCAACTCACAGAGTTGAACCTTGCTTTCATAGTTGAGCTTTCAAACACTCTTTTTGTAGAATCTGCAAGTGGATATTTGGACCACTTTGTGGCCTTCCTTCGAAACGGGTATATCTTCACATCAAACCTAGACAGAAGCATTCTCAGAATGTTTCCTGTGATGACTGCATTCAACTCACAGAGGTGAACAATCCTGCTGATGGAGCAGTTTTGAAACTCTCTTTCTTTGGATTCTGCAAGTGGATATGTGGACCTCTGTGAAGATTTCGTTGGAAACGGGTTCATCTTCACAGAAAAACTAAACAGAAGCATTCTCAGAAACTGCTTTGTGATGTTTGTGTTCCACTTCAAGAATTGAACTTTCCTCTTGACAGAGCAGCTCTGAAACCCTCTTTTTCTAGAATCTGCAAGTGGACATTTGGAGGGCTTTGAGGCCTGTGGTGGAAAAGGAAAATCTTCACATAAAAACTAGATGGAAGCATTCTCAGAAACTACTTTGTGATGATTGCATTCGACTCACAGAGTTGAACATTCCTATAGATAGAGCAGGTTGTAAACAATCTTTTTGTAGAATCTGCGATTGGAGATTTGGACTGCTTTGAGGCCTACTGTAGTAAAGGAAATAACTTCATCTAAAAACCAAACGGAAGCATTCACAGACAATTCTTAGTGATCATTGGATTGAACTAACAGAGCTGAACATTCCTTTAGATGGAGCAGTTTCCAAACCCACTTTCTGTAGAATCTGCAAGTGGATATTTGGACCTCTCTGAGGATTTCGTTGGAAACGGGATAAACTTCCCAGAACTACACGGAAGCATTCTGAGAAACTTCTTTGTGATGTTTGCATTCAACTCACAGAGTTGAACCTTGCTTTCATAGTTCAGCTTTCAAACACTCTTTTTGTAGAATCTGCAAGTGGATATTTGGACCATTTGTGGTCTTCCTTCGAAACGGGTATATCTTCACATCAAACCTAGACAGAAGCATTCTCAGAATGTTTCCTGTGATGACTGCATTCAACTCACAGAGGTGAACAATCCTGCTGATGGAGCACTTTTGAAACTCTCCTTCTTTGGATTCTGCAAGTGAATATGTGGTCCTCTGTGAAGATTTCGTTGGAAACGGGTTCATCTTCACAGAAAAACTAAACAGAAGCATTCTCAGAAACTGCTTTGTGATGTTTGTGTTCCACTTCAGGAATTGAACTTTCCTCTTGACAGAGCAGCTCTGAAACCCTCTTATTCTAGAATCTGCAAGTGGACATTTGGAGGGCTTTGAGGCCTGTGGTGGAAAAGGAAAATCTTCACATAATAACTAGATGGAAGCATTCTCAGAAACTACTTTGTGATGATTGCATTCGACTCACAGAGTTGAACATTCCTATAGATAGAGCAGGTTGTAAACAGTCTTTTTGTAGAATCTGTGATTGGAGATTTGGACTGCTTTGAGGCCTACTGTAGTAAAGGAAATAACTTCATCTAAAAACCAAACGGAAGCATTCACAGACAATTCTTAGTGATCATTGGATTGAACTAACAGAGCTGAACACTCCTTTAGATGGCGCTGTTTCCAAACACACTTTCTGTAGAATCTGCAAGTGGATATTTGGACTTCTCTGAGGATTTCGTTGGAAACGGGATAAACTTCCCAGAACTACACGGAAGCATTGTGAGAAACTTCTTTGTGATGTTTGCATTCAACTCACAGAGTTGAACCTTGCTTTCATAGTTCAGCTTTCAAACACTCTTTTTGTAGAATCTGCAAGTGGATATTTGGACCACTTTGTGGCCTTCCTTCGAAACGGGTATATCTTCACATCAAACCTAGACAGAAGCATTCTCAGAATGTTTCCTGTGATGACTGCATTCAACTCACAGAGGTGAACAATCCTGCTGATGGAGCAGTTTTGAAACTCTCTTTCTTTGGATTCTGCAAGTGGATATGTGGACCTCTGTGAAGATTTCGTTGGAAACGGGTTCATCTTCACAGAAAAACTAAACAGGAAGCATTCTCAGCAAACTGCTTTGTGATGTTTGTGTTCCACTTCAGGAATTGAACTTTCCTCTTGACAGAGCAGCTCTGAAACCCTCTTTTTCTAGAATCTGCAAGTTGACATTTGGAGGGCTTTGAGGCCTGCGGTGGAAAAGGAAAATCTTCACATAAAAACTAGATGGAAGCATTCTCAGAAACTACTTTGTGATGATTGCATTCGACTCACAGAGTTGAACATTCCTATAGATAGAGCAGGTTGTAAACAATCTTTTTGTAGAATCTGCGATTGGAGATTTGGACTGCTTTGAGGCCTACTGTAGTAAAGGAAATAACTTCATCTAAAAACCAAACGGAAGCATTCACAGACAATTCTTAGTGATCATTGGATTGAACTAACAGAGCTGAACATTCCTTTAGATGGAGCAGTTTCCAAACACACTTTCTGTAGAATCTGCAAGTGGATATTTGGACCTCTCTGAGGATTTCGTTGGAAACGGGCTAAACTTCCCAGAACTACACGGAAGCATTCTGAGAAACTTCTTTGGATGTTTGCATTCAACTCACAGAGTTGAACCTTGCTTTCATAGTTCAGCTTTCAAACACTCTTTTTGTAGAATCTGCAAGTGGATATTTGGACCACTTTGTGGCCTTCCTTCGAAACGGGTATATCTTCACATCAAACCTAGACAGAAGCATTCTCAGAATGTTTCCTGTGATGACTGCATTCAACTCACAGAGGTGAACAATCCTGCTGATGGAGCAGTTTTGAAACTCTCTTTCTTTGGATTCTGCAAGTGGATATGTGGACCTCTGTGAAGATTTCGTTGGAAACGGGTTCATCTTCACAGAAAAACTAAACAGGAGCATTCTCAGAAACTGCTTTGTGATGTTTGTGTTCCACTTCAAGAATTGAACTTTCCTCTTGACAGAGCAGCTCTGAAACCCTCTTTTTCTAGAATCTGCAAGTGGACATTTGGAGGGCTTTGAGGCCTGTGGTGGAAAAGGAAAATCTTCACATAAAAACTAGATGGAAGCATTCTCAGAAACTACTTTGTGATGATTGCATTCGACTCACAGAGTTGAACATTCCTATAGATAGAGCAGGTTGAAAACAATCTTTTTGTAGAATCTGCGATTGGAGATTTGGACTGCTTTGAGGCCTACTGTAGTAAAGGAAATAACTTCATCTAAAAACCAAACGGAAGCATTCACAGACAATTCTTAGTGATCATTGCATTGAACTAACAGAGCTGAACATTCCTTTAGATGGCGCAGTTTCCAAACACACTTTCTGTAGAATCTGCAAGTGGATATTTGGACTTCTCTGAGGATTTCGTTGGAAACGGGATAAACTTCCCAGAACTACACGGAAGCATTCTGAGAAACTTCTTTGTGATGTTTGCATTCAACTCACAGAGTTGAACCTTGCTTTCATAGTTCAGCTTTCAAACACTCTTTTTGTAGAATCTGCAAGTGGATATTTGGACCACTTTCTGGCCTTCCTTCGAAACGGGTATATCTTCACATCAAACCTAGACAGAAGCATTCTCAGAATGTTTCCTGTGATGACTGCATTCAACTCACAGAGGTGAACAATCCTGCTGATGGAGCAGTTTTGAAACTCTCTTTCTTTGGATTCTGCAAGTGGATATGTGGACCTCTGTGAAGATTTCGTTGGAAACGGGTTCATCTTCACAGAAAAACTAAACAGAAGCATTCTCAGAAACTGCTTTGTGATGTTTGTGTTCCACTTCAGGAATTGAACTTTCCTCTTGATAGAGCAGCTCTGAAACCCTCTTTTTCTAGAATCTGCAAGTGGACATTTGGAGGGCTTTGAGGCCTGTGGTGGAAAAGGAAAATCCTCACATAAAAACTAGATGGAAGCATTCTCAGAAACTACTTTGTGATGATTGCATTCGACTCACAGAGTTGAACATTCCTATAGATAGAGCAGGTTGTAAACAATCTTTTTGTAGAATCTGCGATTGGAGATTTGTTCTGCTTTGAGGCCTACTGTAGTAAAGGAAATAACTTCATCTAAAAACCAAACGGAAGCATTCACAGACAATTCTTAGTGATCATTGGATTGAACTAACAGAGCTGAACATTCCTTTAGATGGAGCAGTTTCCAAACACACTTTCTGTAGAATCTGCAAGTGGATATTTGGACTTCTCTGAGGATGTCGTTGGAAACGGGATATACTTCCCAGAACTACACGGAAGCATTGTGAGAAACTTCTTTGTGATGTTTGCATTCAACTCACAGAGTTGAACCTTGCTTTCATAGTTCAGCTTTCAAACACTCTTTTTGTAGGATCTGCAAGTGGATATTTGGACCACTTTGTGGCCTTCCTTCGAAACGGGTATATCTTCACATCAAACCTAGACAGAAGCATTCTCAGAATGTTTCCTGTGATGACTGCGTTCAACTCACAGAGGTGAACAATCCTGCTGATGGAGCAGTTTTGAAACTCTCTTTCTTTGGATTCTGCAAGTTGATATGTGGACCTCTGTGAAGATTTCGTTGGAAACGGGTTCATCTTCACAGAAAAACTAAACAGGAGCATTCTCAGAAACTGCTTTGTGATGTTTGTGTTCCACTTCAAGAATTGAACTTTCCTCTTGACAGAGCAGCTCTGAAACCCTCTTTTTCTAGAGTATGCAAGTGGACATTTGGAGGGCTTTGAGGCCTGTGGTGGAAAAGGAAAATCTTCACATAAAAACTAGATGGAAGCATTCTCAGAAACTACTTTGTGATGATTGCATTCGACTCACAGAGTTGAACATTCCTATAGATAGAGCAGGTTGTAAACAATCTTTTTGTAGAATCTGCGATTGGAGATTTGGACTGCTTTGAGGCCTACTGTAGTAAAGGAAATAACTTCATCTAAAAACCAAACGGAAGCATTCACAGAAAATTCTTAGTGATCATTGGATTGAACTAACAGAGCTGAACATTCCTTTAGATGGCACAGTTTCCAAACACACTTTCTGTAGAATCTGCAAGTGGATATTTGGACCTCTCTGAGGATTTCGTTGGAAACGGGCTAAACTTCCCAGAACTACACGGAAGCATGCTGAGAAACTTCTTTGTGATGTTTGCATTCAACTCACAGAGTTGAACCTTGCTTTCATAGTTCAGCTTTCAAACACTCTTTTTGTAGAATCTGCAAGTGGATATTTGGACCACTTTGTGGCCTTCCTTCGAAACGGGTATATCTTCACATCAAACCTAGACAGAAGCATTCTCAGAATGTTTCCTGTGATGACTGCATTCAACTCACAGAGGTGAACAATCCTGTTGATGGAGCACTTTTGAAACTCTCTTTCTTTGGATTCTGCAAGTTGATATGTGGACCTCTGAGAAGATTTCGTTGGAAACGGGTTCATCTTCACAGAAAAACTAAACAGAAGCATTCTCAGAAACTACTTTGTGATGTTTGTGTTCCACTTCAAGAATTGAACTTTCCTCTTGACAGAGCAGCTCTGAAACCCTCTTTTTCTAGAATCTGCAAGTGGACATTTGGAGGGCTTTGAGGCCTGTGGTGGAAAAGGAAAATCTTCACATAAAAACTAGATGGAAGCATTCTCAGAAATTACTTTGTGATGATTGCATTCGACTCACAGAGTTGAACATTCCTATAGATAGAGCAGGTTGTAAACAATCTTTTTGTAGAATCTGCGATTGGAGATTTGGACTGCTTTGAGGCCTACTGTAGTAAAGGAAATAACTTCATCTAAAAACCAAACGGAAGCATTCACAGACAATTCTTAGTGATCATTGGATTGAACTAACAGAGCTGAACATTCCCTTAGATGGCGCAGTTTCCAAACACACTTTCTGTAGAATCTGCAAGTGGATATTTGGACCTCTCTGAGGATTTCGTTGGAAACGGGATAAACTTCCCAGAACTACACGGAAGCATTCTGAGAAACTTCTTTGTGATGTTTGCATTCAACTCACAGAGTTGAACCTTGCTTTCATAGTTCAGCTTTCAAACACTCTTTTTGTAGAATCTGCAAGTGGATATTTGGACCACTTTCTGGCCTTCCTTCGAAACGGGTATATCTTCACATCAAACCTAGACAGAAGCATTCTCAGAATGTTTCCTGTGATGACTGCATTCAACTCACAGAGGTGAACAATCCTGCTGATGGAGCAGTTTTGAAACTCTCTTTCTTTGGATTCTGCAAGTGGATATGTGGACCTCTGTGAAGATTTCGTTGGAAACGGGTTCATCTTCACAGAAAAACTAAACAGGAGCATTCTCAGAAACTGCTTTGTGATGTTTGTTTTCCACTTCAAGAATTGAACTTTCCTCTTGACAGAGCAGCTCTGAAACCCTCTTTTTCTAGAATCTGCAAGTGGACATTTGGAGGGCTTTGAGGCCTGTGGTGGAAAAGGAAAATCTTCACATAAAAACTAGATGGAAAGCATTCTCAGAAACTACTTTGTGATGATTGCATTCGACTCACAGAGTTGAACATTCCTATAGATAGAGCAGGTTGTAAACAATCTTTTTGTAGAATCTGCGATTGGAGATTTGGACTGCTTTGAGGCCTACTGTAGTAAAGGAAATAACTTCATCTAAAAACCAAACGGGAGCATTCACAGACAATTCTTAGTGATCATTGGATTGAACTAACAGAGCTGAACATTCCTTTAGATGGAGCAGTTTCCAAACACACTTTCTGTAGAATCTGCAAGTGGATATTTGGACCTCTCTGAGGATTTCGTTGGAAACGGGCTGAACTTCCCAGAACTACACGGAAGCATTCTGAGAAACTTCTTTGTGATGTTTGCATTCAACTCACAGAGTTGAACCTTGCTTTCATAGTTCAGCTTTCAAACACTCTTTTTGTAGAATCTGCAAGTGGATATTTGGACCACTTTGTGGCCTTCCTTCGAAACGGGTATATCTTCACATCAAACCTAGACAGAAGCATTCTCAGAATGTTTCTTGTGATGACTGCATTCAACTCACAGAGGTGAACAATCCTGCTGATGGAGCAGTTTTGAAACTCTCTTTCTTTGGATTCTGCAGGTGGATATGTGGACCTCTGTGAAGATTTCGTTGGAAACGGGTTCATCTTCACAGAAAAACTAAACAGGAGCATTCTCAGAAACTACTTTGTGATGTTTGTGTTCCACTTCAAGAATTGAACTTTCCTCTTGACAGAGCAGCTCTGAAACCCTCTTTTTCTAGAATCTGCAAGTGGACATTTGGAGGGCTTTGAGGCCTGTGGTGGAAAAGGAAAATCTTCACATAAAAACTAGATGGAAGCATTCTCAGAAACTACTTTGTGATGATTGCATTCGACTCACAGAGTTGAACATTCCTATAGATAGAGCAGGTTGTAAACAATCTTTTTGTAGAATCTGCGATTGGAGATTTGGACTGCTTTGAGGCCTACTGTAGTAAAGGAAATAACTTCATCTAAAAACCAAACGGAAGCATTCACAGACTATTCTTAGTGATCATTGCATTGAACTAACAGAGCTGAACATTCCTTTAGATGGAGCAGTTTCCAAACCCACTTTCTGTAGAATCTGCAAGTGGATATTTGGACTTCTCTGAGGATTTCGTTGGAAACGGGATAAACTTCCCAGAACTACACGGAAGCATTGTGAGAAACTTCTTTGTGATGTTTGCATTCAACTCACAGAGTTGAACCTTGCTTTCATAGTTCAGCTTTCAAACACTCTTTTTGTAGAATCTGCAAGTGGATATTTGGACCACTTTGTGGCCTTCCTTCGAAACGGGTATATCTTCACATCAAACCTAGACAGAAGCATTCTCAGAATGTTTCCTGTGATGACTGCATTCAACTCACAGAGGTGAACAATCCTGTTGATGGAGCAGTTTTGAAACTCTCTTTCTTTGGATTCTGCAAGTTGATATGTGGACCTCTGTGAAGATTTCGTTGGAAACGGGTTCATCTTCACAGAAAAACTAAACAGAAGCATTCTCAGAAACTGCTTTGTGATGTTTGTGTTCCACTTCAAGAATTGAACTTTCCTCTTGACAGAGCAGCTCTGAAACCCTCTTTTTCTAGAATCTGCAAGTGGACATTTGGAGGGCTTTGAGGCCTGTGGTGGAAAAGGAAAATCTTCACATAAAAACTAGATGGAAGCATTCTCAGAAACTACTTTGTGATGATTGCATTCGACTCACAGAGTTGAACATTCCTATAGATAGAGCAGGTTGTAAACAATCTTTTTGTAGAATCTGCGATTGGAGATTTGGACTGCTTTGAGGCCTACTGTAGTAAAGGAAATAACTTCATCTAAAAACCAAATGGAAGCATTCACAGACAATTCTTAGTGATCATTGCATTGAACTAACAGAGCTGAACATTCCTTTAGATGGCGCAGTTTCCAAACACACTTTCTGTAGAATCTGCAAGTGGATATTTGGACCTCTCTGAGGATTTCGTTGGAAACGGGATAAACTTCCCAGAACTACACGGAAGCATTCTGAGAAACTTCTTTGTGATGTTTGCATTCAACTCACAGAGTTGAACCTTGCTTTCATAGTTCAGCTTTCAAACCCTCTTTTTGTAGAATCTGCAAGTGGATATTTGGACCACTTTGTGGCCTTCCTTCGAAACGGGTATATCTTCACATCAAATCTAGACAGAAGCATTCTCAGAATGTTTCCTGTGATGACTGCATTCAACTCACAGAGGTGAACAATCCTGCTGATGGAGCAGTTTTGAAACTCTCTTTCTTTGGATTCTGCAAGTGGATATGTGGACCTCTGTGAAGATTTCGTTGGAAACGGGTTCATCTTCACAGAAAAACTAAACAGAAGCATTCTCAGAAACTGCTTTGTGATGTTTGTGTTCCACTTCAAGAATTGAACTTTCCTCTTGACAGAGCAGCTCTGAAACCCTCTTTTTCTAGAATCTGCAAGTGGACATTTGGAGGGCTTTGAGGCCTGTGGTGGAAAAGGAAAATCTTCACATAAAAACTAGATGGAAGCATTCTCAGAAACTACTTTGTGATGATTGCATTCGACTCACAGAGTTGAACATTCCTATAGATAGAGCAGGTTGTAAACAATCTTTTTGTAGAATCTGCGATTGGAGATTTGGACTGCTTTGAGGCCTACTGTAGTAAAGGAAATAACTTCATCTAAAAACCAAACGGAAGCATTCACAGACAATTCTTAGTGATCATTGGATTGAACTAACAGAGCTGAACATTCCTTTAGATGGAGCAGTTTCCAAACACACTTCCTGTAGAATCTGCAAGTGGATATTTGGACTTCTCTGAGGATTTCGTTGGAAACGGGATAAACTTCCCAGAACTACACGGAAGCATTGTGCGAAACTTCTTTGTGATGTTTGCATTCAACTCACAGAGTTGAACCTTGCTTTCATAGTTCAGCTTTCAAACACTCTTTTTGTAGAATCTGCAAGTGGATATTTGGACCACTTTGTGGCCTTCCTTCGAAACGGGTATATCTTCACATCAAACCTAGACAGAAGCATTCTCAGAATGTTTCCTGTGATGACTGCATTCAACTCACAGAGGTGAACAATCCTGTTGATGGAGCAGTTTTGAAACTCTCTTTCTTTGGATTCTGCAAGTGGATATGTGGACCTCTGTGAAGATTTCGTTGGAAACGGGTTCATCTTCACAGAAAAACTAAACAGAAGCATTCTCAGAAACTGCTTTGTGATGTTTGTGTTCCACTTCAAGAATTGAACTTTCCTCTTGACAGAGCAGCTCTGAAACCCTCTTTTTCTAGAATCTGCAAGTGGACATTTGGAGGGCTTTGAGGCCTGTGGTGGAAAAGGAAAATCTTCACATAAAAACTAGATGGAAGCATTCTCAGAAACTACTTTGTGATGATTGCATTCGACTCACAGAGTTGAACATTCCTATAGATAGAGCAGGTTGTAAACAATCTTTTTGTAGAATCTGCGATTGGAGATTTGGACTGCTTTGAGGCCTACTGTAGTAAAGGAAATAACTTCATCTAAAAACCAAACGGAAGCATTCACAGACAATTCTTAGTGATCATTGCATTGAACTAACAGAGCTGAACATTCCTTTAGATGGAGCAGTTTCCAAACACACTTTCTGTAGAATCTGCAAGTGGATATTTGGACTTCTCTGAGGATTTCTTTGGAAACGGGATAAACTTCCCAGAACTACACGGAAGCATTCTGAGAAACTTCTTTGTGATGTTTGCATTCAACTCACAGAGTTGAACCTTGCTTTCATAGTTCAGCTTTCAAACACTCTTTTTGTAGAATCTGCAAGTGGATATTTGGACCACTTTGTGGCCTTCCTTCGAAACGGGTATATCTTCACATCAAACCTAGACAGAAGAATTCTCAGAATGTTTCCTGTGATGACTGCATTCAACTCACAGAGGTGAACAATCCTGTTGATGGAGCAGTTTTGAAACTCTCTTTCTTTGGATTCTGCAAGTGGATATGTGGACCTCTGTGAAGATTTCGTTGGAAACGGGTTCATCTTCCCAGAAAAACTAAAAAGAAACATTCTCAGAAACTGCTTTGTGAAGTTTGTGTTCCACTTCAGGAATTGAACTTTCCTCTTGACAGAGCAGCTCTGAAACCCTCTTATTCTAGAATCTGCAAGTGGACATTTGGAGGGCTTTGAGGCCTGTGGTGGAAAAGGAAAATCTTCACATAAAAACTAGATGGAAGCATTCTCAGAAACTACTTTGTGATGATTGCATTCGACTCACAGAGTTGAACATTCCTATAGATAGAGCAGGTTGTAAACAATCTTTTTGTAGAATCTGCGATTGGAGATTTGGACTGCTTTGAGGCCTACTGTAGTAAAGGAAATAACTTCATCTAAAAACCAAACGGAAGCATTCACAGATAATTCTTAGTGATCATTGCATTGAACTAACAGAGCTGAACATTCCTTTAGATAGCGCAGTTTCCAAACACACTTTCTGTAGAATCTGCAAGTGGATATTTGGACTTCTCTGAGGATTTCGTTGGAAACGGGATAAACTTCCCAGAACTACACGGAAGCATTGTGAGAAACTTCTTTGTGATGTTTGCATTCAACTCACAGAGTTGAACCTTGCTTTCATAGTTCAGCTTTCAAACACTCTTTTTGTAGAATCTGCAAGTGGATATTTGGACCACTTTGTGGCCTTCCTTCGAAACGGGTATATCTTCACATCAAACCTAGACAGAAGCATTCTCAGAATGTTTCCTGTGATGACTGCATTCAACTCACAGAGGTGAACAATCCTGTTGATGGAGCAGTTTTGAAACTCTCTTTCTTTGGATTCTGCAAGTTGATATGTGGACCTCTGTGAAGATTTCGTTGGAAACGGGTTCATCTTCACAGAAAAACTAAACAGAAGCATTCTCAGAAACTGCTTTGTGATGTTTGTGTTCCACTTCAAGAATTGAACTTTCCTCTTGACAGAGCAGCTCTGAAACCCTCTTTTTCTAGAATCTGCAAGTGGACATTTGGAGGGCTTTGAGGCCTGTGGTGGAAAAGGAAAATCTTCACATAAAAACTAGATGGAAGCATTCTCAGAAACTACTTTGTGATGATTGCATTCGACTCAAAGAGTTGAACATTCCTATAGATAGAGCAGGTTGTAAACAATCTTTTTGCAGAATCTGTGATTGGAGATTTGGACTGCTTTGAGGCCTACTGTAGTAAAGGAAATAACTTCATCTAAAAACCAAACGGAAGCATTCACAGACAATTCTTAGTGATCATTGCATTGAACTAACAGAGCTGAACATTCCTTTAGATGGCGCAGTTTCCAAACACACTTTCTGTAGAATCTGAAAGTGGATATTTGGACCTCTCTGAGGATTTCGTTGGAAACGGGATAAACTTCCCAGAACTACACGGAAGCATTCTGAGAAACTTCTTTGTGATGTTTGCATTCAACTCACAGAGTTGAACCTTGCTTTCATAGTTCAGCTTTCAAACACTCTTTTTGTAGAATCTGCAAGTGGATATTTGGACCACTTTGTGGCCTTCCTTCGAAACGGGTATATCTTCACATCAAACCTAGACAGAAGCATTCTCAGAATGTTTCCTGTGATGACTGCATTCAACTCACAGAGGTGAACAATCCTGCTGATGGAGCAGTTTTGAAACTCTCCTTCTTTGGATTCTGCAAGTGGATATGTGGACCTCTGTGAAGATTTCGTTGGAAACGGGTTCATCTTCACAGAAAAACTAAACAGAAGCATTCTCAGAAACTGCTTTGTGATGTTTGTGTTCCACTTCAGGAATTGAACTTTCCTCTTGACAGAGCAGCTCTGAAACCCTCTTATTCTAGAATCTGCAAGTGGACATTTGGAGGGCTTTGAGGCCTGTGGTGGAAAAGGAAAATCTTCACATACAAACTAGATGGAAGCATTCTCAGAAACTACTTTGTGATGATTGCATTCGACTCACAGAGTTGAACATTCCTATAGATAGAGCAGGTTGTAAACAATCTTTTTGTAGAATCTGCGATTGGAGATTTGGACTGCTTTGAGGCCTACTGTAGTAAAGGAAATAACTTCATCTAAAAACCAAACGGAAGCATTCACAGACAATTCTTAGTGATCATTGAATTGAACTAACAGAGCTGAACATTCCTTTAGATGGCGCAGTTTCCAAACACACTTTCTGTAGAATCTGCAAGTGGATATTTGGACCTCTCTGAGGATTTCGTTGGAAACGGGATAAACTTCCCAGAACTACACGGAAGCATGCTGAGAAACTTCTTTGTGATGTTTGCATTCATCTCACAGAGTTGAACCTTGCTTTCATAGTTCAGCTTTCAAACACTCTTTTTGTAGAATCTGCAAGTGGATATTTGGACCACTTTGTGGCCTTCCTTCGAAACGGGTATATCTTCACATCAAACCTAGACAGATGGTCTCGGACTCTTGGGCTCAAATGATTCTCCTGCCTTGGCCTTCTGAAGTGCTGGTATTACAGGCATGAACTTCCACCTTGGTTTCATAGTTCAACTTTCTGACACTCTTTTTGTATAATATGCAAGTGGATATTTGGACCACTTTGTGGCCTTCCTTCGAAACGGGTATATATCCACATCAAACCTAGACAGAAG